>NC_000013.11:75377802-75529318 GCF_000001405.40 Homo sapiens
CTACCTATCTATCTACATATCTATCATAAACCGGGCCTGATAGAGTTCACTGGTGAATCTTTGCTACAATGAATATATAAAAGTAGCATACAATTATATATTAATGGCATGCAAAATATACTTCTAATTGCTACAAATTATTTATTGCCTTAAGTTTCTCTTTCAAATATAAACATGATTTGGGGGTTTCATACCTTAAAAGTTTCAAAGCCATAAATTACAATTACTGTAATATGTTAAAGAGTAGTACATTAGTACTATGGCTATATGTGGCTTTTTGTTAGTGTAAAATACATCAGCATGATTTTACTCCATATCTTTTGCTCAATCTTTGCCTTTGTTTTCCACACATACCAGCTTATGTAATAAACGCACGTCAATATATTTTAAAGTTCAATTTTACTAAAAGTTGGTTTAAGTTATTGAAAATTCTTCAAATGCATATTAACTCTATATTAATAGCTAGAAACTTTTGGAATGTTTTGTTTTAAAATGATCAGCTTTTGAAAAAAATACAAAAATCACCTACTCATTCTTATGTTGCTTCCTCTTGATCTCTAGATTTTCATAAAATTCCATGGTTAGAAAAAGGAAACAAAGATCACTGAACTAATTATCTAAACAATGAGAGAAAACATTAAATGGTGTAACAGATTTGTGCTCGGTAGTCATCAGTGATACAGATGGAAATCTGGGCATGACAATAGAATTTTCTCTTTTGTTAACTGAAAAGATAAACAGATACCTAGCTCTCTTTTAGTGTAGGAGTTAGCATAATGAAGGGAAAAAGTTGATCACAATGATAGCTGTGTAGGAATGAGGACCTATGCTAAAACTTTTACATTCAATAATTCTTATTCTCACAACTATCCAAGATAGGGCCTATTACTTCCACTGTGAAAATAAATTGGTCTATCTTCTCAATTTTTCTATACTTCTAAATGTGCTCTAAAAAATTATCTATTAAAAACTAATAAACTGGAAAACTGATGGCCATCAAGTGTTTGTTTCAAGTTTAGAAGATTCACATCAAATACATATCCAGCTGAAGAAAATAAACAGGTTTTGAATAGAACTTAGAATCTAGAATTTCTACAATACCTTTCAAAGCTTCATATTTAAGCTTCTGCAAAACGTTCAACATTTGCAGTATGGCAGTTTTATAACTATTGATGCAAATTGGGTGAATTTAGTATTTAACAAGTCTTACTTCTATTTTCAGGTACAAAATGAACTAATTTAGGTGTTGAGCAACATTAAAAAAACAGTATATAAACATCTCAATCACATAACATCATGACTGAATTTAACCTCAGAAACTTCTACAAAGATCTTCTATAAATTGCTACATGATAAACAAGAAAATTAAAATCCAGAGAAGCGAAATGACTAGCTCAAAATCACAAAGCTAAATTATTACTTGATTTACACAAACGTGAATTTTTATACATACACACATGCACACACACACACACACAGCTTTTCAAGATATGTCTAAAAAAGTACATCTCTAGTGTTCAATGAAATCAATATGTGCAATGACAAATATTATCAAAATGTATGACAGTATATTCATTTGTGTTACTGTCTTTTTAAAGTCTGCCAACCTCACTAGATTTCAAAGAATATGACAGCAGGAAAATATATATTTTGTTCACCACTAAATACCCCATGTCTGTCACAATGCCTAACATGAGTTCAATACTTAATAAATATTTGATGACTGAATAAACACTTTAAGAATCCAATAGCCTCTTCTGAAACATGGAATCTCATAAACCAAAATGTCGATTTGACTTACATCTATTACAAACATAGCACAGACCAACCTATTGAGCAAAGACTAAGCACTATTAAAATATTTCATGGTTAATTGACATTAGAAGTTCTTGAGTCCTTAAATAGCCTCATGTCAGAAAATGATTATCAGTCTCAAAGAGAGCCCTTTCACTCTCCTGGGTCAGCTAAAACTCCCAGTTTTAGTTGATAAAAATCAACTAAACAACACATTTACCATTATTGATAAAATTAAGATAGCTAAAAGAAAGCTAGTGTTGAAGTATATCAGTTTTGTTCATCTGACTCTTTTTTTTTTTTTTTTTTTTTTTTTTTTTTTTTTTTGAGAAAGAGTCTTGCTCTGTTGCCCAGGCTGGAGTGCAGTGGTGCAGTCTTGGCTCACCGCAATCTCTGCTACCCAGATTCAAGCGATTCTCATGCTTCAACCTCCGAAGTGTCCCAGTTAACCTTTGTATTTTTAGTAGAGACGGGGTTTCACTGTGTTGGCCAGGTAGGTCTCGAACTCCTGGCCTCAAGTGATCCACCCGCCTCGGCTTCCCAAAGTGCTGGGATTACAGGCGTGAGCCACCGCGCCTAGCCTCATCTGACCCTTCTATTAAGAGGCAGACATGCCTGTAATCCCAGAACTTTGGGAGGCCGAGGCGGGTGGATCACCTGAGGTCAGGGGTTCAAGAACAGCCTGACCAATATGGTGAAACCCCATCTCTACTAAAAACACAAAAAATTAGCCGGACATGGTGGCTGGTGCCTGTAATCCCAGCTACTCGGGAGGCTAAGGCAAGAGACTCACTTGAACCCAGGAGGTGGAGGTTGCAGTGGGCCGCGATCACGCCATTGCATTCAAGTCTGGGCCTAAGAGCAAAACTCCATCTCCAAAAAAAAAAGGCAGACACTTTTTAAATCTGTCTGTCTCTAGAACGGTAATGAACTAGATAAGATTTTTTTTTTTTTAATCTTCAAGGCATGAAACACTGAATTTACAAACAATCAATCCCTATTTCCTTCATTTCACCTTCTCGGCATTTTATGTTCCCACACGTTAACTCTACCTACGTTATGTGAAGAAGTGAAAAAAGGGAGAATATTCACACCTTCTTATTCTTTATCATGGTTTCCACAAGACCACCTCCTATGGGAGTCCTGACAAAGCTAGCCTAATGCAGTCCCCATAATTTCTGGTGTTATGCCACTGGAAGAGTTTTCATCATCACCATCCAAATGAACAGAAGAGGAGCTTCTGTTCTAGAAAAAGATCCTTACCTTTCCCCCTACCTTTTTTTAACTCCAAAATGCCCTCTCTGTAACATCTACTATGCCCAATTATAAATGGTCAAAATTTTACAGTAAGACAGATCTGGGTTCCATTCCCAGCTAGATCACTTACTATGTGATTTTTGGCACACTTTTAAAACTCTCTTAACTTCAGTATCATCCTCTATAAAATAGGGATAATACCTGTAACCTATAAAAACTGTGAGAATAAAGTTTGTATAAAGCACCTAACATTGTATCTAACATAGGTTCTTAATAATGTTAATAAAGTGGATGAATTAACTTGTAAATAAAATTAATAAATATTAACTATTTTTCTCCACCTCCTCTTCATTATCAACTAACTCCATGATGTACAAAAAGTCTCCAATTTATTATGAGGAAATCATCATGTCCCACAAACACCAGTCCTTCCTCACCGTCCCTATTTGTCCAGTGGGTGAATGGCCTATAACTGCCACTCAGTCATTCACTGTCGAAATAACTATACCTGGCTTTTCACCATCAGTTTTAGGATTTCTAATTTTAAACAAATTGTAAGGGGTAATATATTTGCCTATATCAAGTAATAGGATTTCTCCAATGATTTAAATTTCTTGTGTATGCTTAAAAAGAAACAGGGGCATACCAGAAACTGCTTCAAACTGTTGCTTCAACTTTTCCCCAATAAAAATTTGACTTGAAACCTCTAGCACTTCACCTTGAAATGAACCCCCCACCTTCAGTTGCTTCCTTATTGCCCAGATATGAGTCAAAGTTATTGGCATCCCCAAGTCTGTGCCATCCACAAACTACTATCATTGCAGGTTCAGTCAAATCAAGAAACATTTATTGAATTTCTTCTCAGTGCAACCAGAACACCAGAGGCCCTAAGTATGCTAGGCGCTAAGCATGCAAACATGAAAATGAAATGGTCTCTCTTCGCTGATGGCTCAGACTCTAAAATGAATAGATCCAAACACACAAAATAATATACAATGATACAATGAAATAAGTGCTGTACGGCCACATGTTTACAGTACCAATCTATGGAGATAGATGGGAAATTAATAAATGAAATACTAGCAGACAATATACTAGAGACACAACATAATATTTGTAACAGCACAGAAAGAGTTGAACACTAGGAAACCCATTGAGGGAGGCTGATTCAGTAAAAGGGAATCTTTTTAGGATGGGGAATCTCCAGCACTTTTCTACTTCAGGCTCTCATTAGCTCTTTCCACTTGGCGATTAGCTCTTTGTTAATATCCTCACCTCCAGCCTCTCTCCTTCCCCTTGGCTCTCAAATCCACCCTAAACAATTCAGCCAGATTAATCAGCCTAAATCAAAACATGCAGCCTCTCATTCCTCTTATAAAGTTTTTCCCAAAAGGTTTAACCTGTGAGTGTCCAATGTCTATTTACATGAAGTTCCAATTTGGAGACTAAGCATCCATGACTCCCAAATATCATTCCAGGTTTTTCTCTCACTATCTCATTTCAAATAAATTACACTGGGCTGCTTGCTGCTTCCTCAACACTGCTCCAACTTTTTTCCTTGACACCTTTGCATATACTGGTCTTTCTGCCTACAAAACTTTCTTTTCGAGCTCTTTAAAATTGTGTTATTCAATATGGTAGCTTTTAGCCATGGGTGGAGATGAATTTAATATGACTAGGAAAAAGATGTTTTAATTTGAATTAACTTTAATATACATTAAAATTTTAAAACAGATGCCCTATTCAGTTATTGGAAAACTTTAAAGTATGACTGGAACAAACTGTATGTGAATTTTGTTTTTCAACTGTTAAATTTTATAAACTCTATATTTAGATCACATATTTCCAGTGAAAAGTTAGCTTCTGAATTGAGATGTGCTATGTGCTTGACATGTAAAATGCAGAGTCAATTTCAAGGACTTAGTGTGAAAAATGTTAAATATCTCAATAATTTTATATTGATTATAATGCTGAAATTACAATATTCTGTGCGTACTGGGTTAAATAATATATACAATTCAAATTAATTTCACCCGTCTCTTTTGACTTCTTTTAATCTGTTTACTAGAAAGTTTACATGAACCTCACATTATATTTTAATTGGACAGCACTGCATTAGAATTCTATCTCTGTATACCCTTTAAGGGCAAGTTAAATGTCATGAACTCTATCAAAAGCCTATCTTCGGTCGAGCACAGAGGCTCACGCCCATAATCCCAACATATCGGGAGGCAGAGGCAGGCGGCTCACTTGAGGCCAGGAGTTTGAGACCACCCTGGCCAACATAGTGAAATCCCATCTCTACCAAAAAATACAAAAATTAGCAGGGAGTGGTGGTGAGCACTTGTAGTCCCAGCTACTCGGGAGGCTGAGGCACAAGAATCACTTGAACCCAGAAGGTGGAGGCTGCAGTGAGCTGAGATTGCGCCACTACACTCCAGTCTGGGCAACAGAGTGAGACCTTGTCTCCCCAACAACAAAAACAACAAAAGCCTATCCTGAATTCTGAATTCTTTAAACAGAATTGATCTTACCCTCACCTCAACCGTGGCTATAGTAGGCACTCAACCAATTTATTTATTTACTGAATAAATGACTAAAACATTTTGTTTTTATCCTCATTGCACTTAATACATTTGGACTCGTACAGTAGTCCCTCCTTATCTGTAGTTTCACTTTCTGTGGTTTTAGTTACCTGCAGTACAGTACAATAAGGCATTTTGGAGAGGGTCCACATTCACATAATTTTTATTACAGTATATTGTTATAATTGTTCTGTCTTATTATTATTGTTGCTAATTTCTTGCTGGGCCTATTAAACTTTACCATATGTATGTATGTATGTACATATGTACAGGAAAAAAACAGAGTGTAAATAGGGTTTGGTACCATTCACAGTTTCAGGCATCCATGAGGGGTCTTGGAATGTGTCCCCCACTGATAACGCGGGGCTACTGTATATAACTGGTCTTCTTGCCTTATGTCTCCTACAAGATTCTCAATTCCTTGCTGAGCACTCATTCTTACTTCATCATCTATTTCCTGGGTACATGGCCTACCAGTTTTCCTGAACTATTCTTTCTCATCTGCTGCTCTCCAGCTCTTAAACCATTTCAAAACTTATCTCCGAGGAAGGGGGAGGGATAGCATTAGGAGATATACCTAATGTTAAATGACGAGTTAATGAGTGCAGCACACCACCTGCACATTGTGCACATGTACCCTAAAACTTAAAGTATAATAAAAAAAAATAATAATAATAATGATAAAAAGAAAACTTATCTCCAGGCCAGGTGCAGTGGCTCACGCCTGTGCTGGGATTACAGAATCCTAACACTTTGGGAGGCTGAGGCGGGCAGATCGCTTGAGATCAGGAGTTCAGGGCCAGCCCGGCCAACATGGTGAAATCCCGTCTCTACTAAAAATATAGAAATTAGCTGGGCATGCTGGTGGGTGTCTGTAGTCCCAGCTACTTGGGAGGCTGAGACAGGAGGATCGCTTGAACCCGGGAGGCAGAGGTTGCAGCGAGCTGAGATTGCTGCACTCCAGCCTGGGCGACAGAGCGAGACTCCATCTCAAAAACCTCACCTCCAATGAGCTGCATATTCCTTTCTGGACACCCTGCAGCACTACATCCAGTCAACCTGACAGTAACTTTCCAGTTTCTCCAAAATTCTACTTTAATTTGGGAACCAGAAAAGATAAAGGAAAAAAAAAAAGTTTCTTTAAAAAAAAAAAAAAGGTTGCCACCGCAAAATACAGGAATATGAGCCCAAAGATTTGAAAATTCAGTGATGATAACATATTTCTTTACATAAATACCAGCTAAATGGTTTTCTTATGATTAATCTATGAATTTGTGGGCTGATTCAGAAAAAAAAGAACTTTGGAAAGATTATTCCTTCCACAACTCTGAAATAAACAAACAAAAATCATCCTTAAATGTTTAAAACTCCAGTTATGGTTAAAATAACTGAAGAAAAATCTTTCTGAAACCTCTATGCCTTTATTAAATATTCTTAAAAATTTTTAAATTTTATTGCCTTATAAATATTGGATAAACACAAATGCTTCTTTCAGCCCAGTGAATAAAATGTGAAGAACATAAAAACATGACTAATAAATCTTCCATGCAAATTGCCCATAAGGCACATCAGCAGATAATAAGATGTCCTCAGAGAAGGAGGAACAAAGAGGAACAAAGCATAGACTGCTCACTGCTCAGCAGCCTGGGAGGCCTATTTGCTCACAACTCCCCTCAAAAAAACTTCCCTCCATGGCCCTTCCCAAAGGCACCCTAACCCAGAGCCTGTGGCAGCAATGCACACCTCTAAATCACCCACAGCAACCCAGTGCTTCCCCCTCACAGCACTTATGGCACTATATTTAGCCACCCAATGGCATCTTCCTCTCCCACAGATGTGTCTCATGCCCCTTACCTATCCCAAGCACAAGGCCTAGCACATGGCTCCCACGCAAAACGTTTGTGAAGTGAACTAACCAATGAATAAGCAAGCAAAGAATCAAAGAGAAAATGGTGGTTCTGCTCACCCTCCTAGATCACAATACTAAACAGGTTCTTGCCTGAACCTAGAGTGTTTTCATATGAGAAGACAGTATTAATCAAATTAAGAGTGTCACCTGAAAAGCAGGTGCCTGTTCTAAAAAGAGACGCTGATAACAGCCTCTGCGTGACCATCGCTAAAGCAAATACATGAACAATTTGAACGTGAGTATCTGGGAAAGTTAGCTCTTTGCAAATAATATTTGCTATGAACTTACGTGTGCACTTTCTAGATAATAATAGCTATCACTAACGGAGCACTTACGTGCTGGGCACTGTTCTAAATGCTTTATATATTTTATCTCCTTTAATCCTCACAACTATCCTTTGATCCTTTGAGGTAATTCTATTATTATCCTCATTTTACTGATAAGAAACTGTCCTATATTCTGCTAATTTATTGAACCCACTCATAAAATCATGTTAACTGGATCAAGAAAATGAATATGACATTTTCCAGTCTTGAGATGATAACATCAAAGACTATGAGATTAGAACAGAAACTAGACATCAAACACTGCATTTCTGTGACAGTGTTTGCTTATGATTAACAGTGTGCACCCTAAAGCCCTCGTGTCCTGCTATGAACCTGAACAATTTATAATATTTTTATAAACATCATAAGTTTAATTGTACCCTACAAGGCTTACCCATAAATACTAAACAGAAAACAAAAGGATGAGTGAAGTTAACACACTGCTGCATTAATGAATATCAATATCTACTGGGCCAAGCTACCAATGAGACCATCTTAAACATATAAATGCCAACTACTGCATTAAAGCCTTGAGCAATAAATTTGGACCAAAAACCATGACTATCATTTAGTAGCTCTGGAAAAGAATGCAATGAAAGAGAAGTTTTCATGAATAAATTATACACTTTTTACCTGGCTTCACAGTTCTTATAAAAATGCATGTTGTAAAATAATAAATGTGCTTTTAATACAGATTTGCTATTTTCTTTTTCTTTTTCTTTTTTTTTTTTTTCAGATGGAGTCTCACACTGTCACCCAGGCTGGAGTGCAGTGGTGTGATCTCGGCTCACTGCAAGCTCCGCCTCTTGGGTCCACGCCATTCTCCTGCCTCAGCCTCCTGAGTAGCTGGGACTACAGGCATCCGCCACCAGACCTGGCTAATTTTTTGTATTTTTAATAGAGACAGGGTTTCACCACATTAGCCAGGATGGTCTCGATCTCCTGACCTCGTGATCCACCCACCTTGGCCTCCCAAAGTGCTGGGATTCAGATTTGCTATTTTCTTTCATGATACATGCTCATTGGGAAATAATAAAACCATAAAGACAAGTACAAATAAAAAAAACACTCATCCAGAGAATACCACTACTGAAATTTTAGTGAACATCTTTCCGCCATTTCTCAATATTAAAACAGTTAATATAGGTATAAAATTTTGAATACGCAGACTCATTCTAAACAAAAAGTTTTGTGATCTCCTTTTTGTGCTTGAAAACCTGGTGTAGGTATTTTTCCTTGTTGATAATTTAGATCTTTATCATTATTTTTCAAGTGTTTTCTAAAACAGCAATTCTCACTCTTGAAAACTGTTGAGAGGCCACTAAGGGCTTTCGTGTGTATGGTTTGATCTATCAATATTTATCATTTTAGAAATTATAACTGAGAAAATTTAAAATATTTATTAACTCACTTAATATAATCACAAATAATTATATAATAAATATTTTATGAAAATAGCTTCACTTTTAAAACAAAAAAGTTTGTGCAAAGATTTATATTAACATTTTTGTAATACTTGACTTAATAAAAGGTAGCTGGATTCCCTTATCTGTTTCTGCACTCAATCTGCCATGACATGAAGAACATCTAACGTCCCACAAGTATATATAAATGGAAAAGGGCAAATTTTCAGAGCTTTGTCAGATAATGGTTAATATTATCTTTTGACACTATCCACCAAAGAATGATCGTTCCTTAGAGGTTTGTGGCAATGCGAAATCTGAAACTATATCAGTGAACTTTCTACATTCTGTCCCATTGAAATCCACTTCTTTACCTTGCACTTCAAAAGAATCTTTTAACAATGCATGATTTTGTAACTCATACACTGATCTTTGGGGAAATATTGGTTCACTGAATTATGCAAATTTTGACATATTCTATTAGGTATTATCAAGACATCACATTCACTAATATCACCACCAATCTCATCAAAGTCTTCAGCAAACTATCAAGCTCACAGTGACAAACAGAAGTTTTTCCAAAAGTCTAAATACACCCTGTCAGTTGTTTTTCTTTAAGTGGCAAGATCACTTTGTTCATTTTCAAGACTATGTCTGCCTAACACCCAAGACTGAAGAAGCACATTTTGTTATGAGTCACTCTTTCAAGTAAAAATGGTGTTCCATGTAAAAGAGGCTAGTTCAGCTTACAACTTGTATTAGCTTTCTGTTACTGCCTTAATAAAGTACCACAAACTTCATTTATTACCTTACAGTTCTGCAGGACAGAAGTCTAGCACCAATCTCATCAGACCAAAATCATGGTGCTGGCAGACTGTGATACTTACTGGAATCTCTAGGGGAGAATTCATTTCTTTATGGTCTTCTTTCAGGCTGTCACCTGAGGGCTGTTCCAAGTTTCTAAAAGACATGCAAATTCCCAGCCTTGTGGCCCCCTTCTTCCACCTGCAAAGCCGGCAATAGCGGGTTGAGTCCTCCTCACATCACATCTCTCTGACCCATCTTCTACCTTCCTCTTCCCTGTTAAGAACTCTTGTTATTAGATTAGGCCCACTTGGATAATCCAGGATAATCTCTGCATCTCGAGGTCCTTAACTTTAATCACATCTGCAAAGTTAACTTCTGACATACAAGGTAATATATTCATAGGTTCCTGGGATGAAGGCAAGCACATATTTAAGGGGCCATAGTTCTGCCTACCACACAACTCAAAAAATTGTGCAAATGCTTTTCCTCTACATGAGCATTCTATTTGGTATGCCATTCCCATTTTCTCATGTATTATATTTTTAAAAATGTGTTCTCAAAGGTTAAATTTTAAGAAACTGAATAAATTCTACTGATTCAATAAGCAGATGAAGATCATTCTGAAGTGGGTCTGGCTGGGTTTTTTGCTATGAATTATTGATTGTGATGAATACAGTGACCACTAGTAGAGTTTGGTGCCACTGCATTGATACATGCTAAGATGCCAGTGGTTTCATCTACCATTGCTTTTGCACCATCAGTGCAAATGTCAACATGGTGAAAAAGACAAATAACATCTTAACATTATGATCAAAATACTTTTGACTTGCTGACCCCCTGAAAATATTTCAGGGAACCCCAGAGTTCTTCAAACCACACTTGAGTACTATGGTCCTCAAGTCTTCCACATGTCCACAGTAATAAAGTATGACAACACTGACCCAATTCAATGATCTGCTCACCATATGTGCATATAGGTTATAATTAAAATTTCATGCCTTCCAACATTGTTCAAACAGGCTCCAATACCAGCTCTCCAGTTTATTGGTTTGTGTAGCCTTGTACAAATTTATTATTAGCAGCTCTAACTTTAGTTTTTTGTGCATAAAGTGGTTTACTGATATCTGCTTCAAATTATTATTTTAAGGATTTGTGAAATTAAATGAGAGCAGACACATGCTTGGCGCATAAGTGCTCACTAAAATAGTAGCTATTGCTGCCCATCATCTATTCTGGGTTCAAATTTTTTGCATGTGATTGTTTTTTAAAAATAACAGACCTACTGCAATATTCCAGACTTTTCTTAACCTGTCATACTTAAAACAGGACGGCACTCTGCTTACTTGATTCCAATATATTTCCAGGAGTATTCATTCTACAGACTGATCATGTTCATATTAATGAGCTAACCTGTAGCCAAAAATGAATTATAAACAGCCTTGAAAGGAGATTTTGGAAAAAAAGACAAAACTATTCATCATACTGTCTCTGTTTCAGATTAAAGTTAGGCCACAACCACATCTTTTTTCTGTGTACTTTTATTTAATTCTGAGGCTACTATTAGTTTTTTTAATGTACTTTGCTTCTTCAGAAAAGCACTGTAAGTAGAAACAGAATAGTTTGTAGAAAAGCTTGGTTTTATTTAACTATTGTATCTCCAGAATTGGTTTTAGTTTTTGTTATTTTTTAATGACAAAATAATAATTATGAGAAACAGTTAATTAAACTGGTTAAATAAATAAAATAGAAGAAAAATAATATTTTGACCAATTAAATATTGCCATAATGTTAGGAAATCATTTTGATAAAATTAGTCATATGAATTATTACAATTTATAAAAATAACTACAAAATCACAACCAATTATGGTACTGTGGTTGGCTACTGCACACAGTACAATATCAGGCATCAACACGATTGTGCTAGTCAGATGTGGACAAGGACCAGCAGACAATGTTGGCAGAAAAGGCCAGAAAATTTACAAGTTAAAACACTAAAGATGGTAGGAAATTCTCAGCAAACCAGAAGTCTGGGCCCTACAAGTAACAGAAACAATAAGTACTGAAGACAGGTAACTAAACCAAAAATTTAAAATGAAAAGGTCAGAAGAGGCTGGGCATGGTGGCTCATGCCTGTAATCCAAGCACTTTGGGAGGGCGAGGCAGGCAGATCAGTTGGGGTCAGGAGTTCGAGACCAGCCTGGCCAACATGGTGAAACCTCGTCTCTACTAAAAATACAAAAAAAAATTAGCTGGGCCTGGCGGCGGGCGCCTGTAATCCCAGCTACTAGGGAGGCTAAGGCAAGAGAATCTCTTGAGCCCAGGAGGCAGAGGTTGCAGTGAGCCAAGATCGCGCCACTGCACTCCAGCCTAGGCGACAGAGAGAGACTCCGTCAAAAAAAAAAAAAAAAACAGGAGAAAGAAAAGAAAAGAAGTCAGAACAGAGATTAAATTGACAGTCAGGTCTCAATGGTCAAGAGGTCTGGGTCCAGGAGATTAGGTACAAGACTACATCCAGAGTGATTAGGATGTGGAATCACCTAAAAATAGGGCTTACACCATGGCTGCTGAAGAGTATTCTCAAAGGTGCTAATACTAATTTCTGACACTAACAGACTGTTTCACTGACACCTTCAGCAATTCACTCACTTACAGATTCCCATTCTCATTTAGTAATGGCAGCCCCAGAGTTAAAACACAAAGATGAAAGGGAACTGGAATCTAACGCTCTGCCTTGCTAACAGTAATTCCTCAAGACTTGGAATGATGGAAGCTTAAGGATGCTGCATGTGACCTTCAAAGAGATTTACAAAAAGACCAGAAAATAACAGCAAACTTCAAGGAATATAAGGCAGCAATTGTCAAAAGAGAAAAACCTCATCTTTCTCTTCTATTTAGTGCGTGAAAATCATGTTGTATGTATAGGTATTTGTGTGAGGATGGATAGATAGATAAGGAAGGAAGGGAGGGGAGGGGAGGGGAGGGGAGGGGAGGGGAGGGGAGGGAAGGTGAGGATCTATATTATCTTTGGATACATATCCAAAGAGAGCTTCCACAAGTTCTGACCTTCACATCTAACTGTGCTTACACTATGCCTTCTTTCCTGATACTATGCACAAACACACTAGCTAAGGCCACTTATTCCCCCACCACACACACACACACACACACACACACACACACACACACACAAACAACTTGTATATCAGATGTCATGGCCTCCTGCACACTTAAGACACTGCTGTAGCAGTTCTCCCCTCTCTCTTCTACAACATCAGTTTTTCCTTCTCTACTCTATCCTCCCCATCAGTTTACACACACACACACACACACACACACACACTATTTTTATCTCTCATCCTAAAAGAATTCTTTTGACCCCACTTCCTTTTCTAACTACTACGCCAATTCTCTCCTCCTAGATGCAGTTAAACTCCAAAAGAGTTGCCTGCATTTGCTATCTGTGATTTCTCTCCTCCCTTTCCTTCTTGAACCCATATAACATCAGGCAATTACTCCCGCCACCCCAGCAAAGCAGCCGGTATGACTGCCACATTGCTAAACCCAACGGTTAATTCCCAGTCCCTATCATATTAGACCCATGGAGTACATTTGACAGAAGAGAGCACTTCCTCAACTTTGACATACTTCTTTCACTTGGCTACCAGGACACTTCACTGTGCTAGGTTTTCTCCACTTCACTGGCTCTCCTTCAGACTCCTTTTCTTATTCCTTCTCATCTCTCAGAACTCTAATCCTTGGGGCTACCCAGGGCTCTATGATTGGCCCTTTCCTCTTTTCTATTTACACTTGCTCCACTTAGTCATTTCATGCAGTCTTCTGGTTTACAAGACCCTGCACCATCTGATGCCCTACTCCCTCTCTGAGCTCCTCGCCTGCCACTCTCCCTTACTCAGTCCACTCCAGCCATGTGGCCTCCTGACTGCTCCTCCACAGAGCAGGAGGCTTCCTCCTGTGGCCATGGAAGTCCTGTCCCTCTCTTTAGATCTTTACTCACCTGTTGTCTTTCCAGTGACAACTCCATTGGCCACACTCACTGAAACCCTCTCTCTCGCTTTCTCTCATTCTTTTTCCAGTCTTTCATCATTTCTTTTTCTCAGTCCTTCTCTTCCTTTCTCCCCAACCCCTTTCCTGTAAAATTTTTATCCTAAGCACTTCTCACCACTTAGCATGCTATAATATTGTACTTTTTTATCTTTTTAATGTCTGTCTTCCCATGATAAAACAGAAGCCCTATAAAACCAAAGATTTTCAACAAATATTTGCTGAATAATTAAACATATAAATATGTGTTGGATAAATAACCAAAAGGCCGTATTTTAAAATGCACACAAAATAAATGCAAAAATCACCCTATTTTAAAGTTCAAACAGTATGTTCCAAATATTAGTATATCCTCCTTCTCACTTTATTTCTACTTCCTTACCAGCATTCATTCTCCATCACACCCCTCAGCTGATCATTTCCTATATTTCATTTATTCTCTAGTCATCTGAAAGAAGAGAAGACCCTCACAGCAGACAATCCACTTTTAATTCACTGGCACTTGCAAGACAACCTCACATCAATGTTCTCATGTGCTCCTCATTCCACTTTAATATCGCACTGTCCCTCCTTCTGTCCTCTCATACACTGAAGACATTTTCCTTTCCTTTTCCTTTTCTTCTTCTTACTCTTTCCGTTCTTCCTCCCCCTCCCCTTCTTCCCCCTCCTCCTCCTCGTCCTACTTCTTCACCTTCTTCTTTTTTAAGAGACAGAGTCTCTCTCTGTTCCCCCAGCTGGAGTGCAGTGGCAGAATCACAGCTCACTGCAACCTCGAATTCCTGGGCTCAAGTGATCCTCCCACCTCAGCCTCCTGAGCAGCTGGGACTACAAGCATGCGCCACCACACCAGCTAATGTTTTTCATTTTTGTTTTTGTAGAGATAGGGTCTCGATATATTGCCAGGCTTGTCTTGAACTCCTAGCCTTAAGTGATCCTCCTGCCTTGGCCTCCCAAAATGCTGGAATTACAGGAGTGAGCCACTGTACCTAGCCTTTTTTCTCTGATTTACAGTTATTCCTTTCATTTTGCTGAGCCCTTAATCCATCTCTATTTTGCTAGAATTCCAAATCCTACAGTATACCCTTCCTTATGTAGACCTGCAGTCATTTCTTCTCTATGGGCGTCATCTCTTTTGTAATGTCAAAAAATACATAAATTTAAATTAAAATACACACACACACACACACACACACACACACACACACACACTCAGTCTTTGTTTGCTCTTACTACTGCATTTGGTTTTGTTTTTTCCTTCCTTTTGCTACCAAACTCTTTAAACAAGAGGTAGATAGTCATCTCTTAGACACTGCTAACACCCTTACATTCACACATTTCACCCCCATTCTCCCAGGCTGGTCTCTGGAATATTACATTTAATCATCATTTCAGTAGAACAATTAATACTGTCTCAGTTCTTAATATTTATATAATAAAAATTGTATGGGACATATTGTCTGCCAGGCTCCGCTCCAAACATTTTACAAGTCTGAATGGATGGTGAATATCCTTTGCCGCATTCGATCCACCAGATAATATTCTACCCACTCATAGCCACTTGGCTTGCTATGCACAGGCGAGACCTACAAACAGCAAATTTTTCAGTGCAACAATACAGCGGTTTAGAGTTACCCAGACCTGAGAAATTTGTAGGTTCCACATTCTTGGGGAAAAATTTTTTAAATGATATAAAAAAATCTTTGGCTGGGCACAGTGGCTCATGCCTGTAATCCCAGCACTTTGGGAGGCCAAGGTGGGCGGATCACCTAAGGTTGGGAGTTCGCGACCAGCCTGACCAACCCGGAGAAACCCCAACTCTACTAAAAATACAAAATTATCCAGGCGTGGTGGCACATGCCTGTAATCCCTGCTACTCTGGAGGCTGAGGCAGGAGAATCGAACCAGGGAGACGAAGGTTGCAGTGAGCAGAGATCGTGCCATTGCACTCCAGCCTGGGCAACAAGAGCAAAACTCTGTCTCAAAAAAAAAAAAACAAAAAAACAAAACTAAACTCTTTCTTGAGTAATACAGATATTTATTTTCTTAGAGGAAGAATATGAGTCAGTCTATCAGAATGATTTGGTTTCTGAAAATGCCTATGTTAATTGCTTTGAAATATGGATTATGTAATATGACTTGGTAATTATAATCTCATATATACAGCTAATAGCTACAAAGTGCTTTTCAACTACTGTTGATTCTTACAATTACCTTATAAGACAAGAGAAATATAATTAACTTAGAGAAAGAAAAGTCATGACACTAGTAAACAGAGCTGATATGCAAACTCAGATATTTAAAACAAGCTTACTGTCATCTCAGACCCATTAATTTTGAGCTCAAGTTCATATTCATTTTACTTCCTCATTTATTAACAAAGATTTAGCAGAACCATAGTTTAGATTCCACAGATTTACAATCTAGCCATAACCGTTGTGAAGTCTAAAAAGGAAACGACATTATTAAACACAAGAGGTCATCAAAAGAATTGACAATCATGGAAAGAACAATGGTCATTTTGGCTATGTATTAAATCAGATCTGCCAGATGTTTCAGCTGTATAATTTTTGTTTAATTTTAAGGAAAACACAGAAAAGAAAAAGAATGCTCAGAACCACCTACAAGCCAAATACTTGCCAAAATATAAACCTTATTATTAAATAGCAAACATAAATATATTTTATATTTCAAATACAATAGACGCTAGATTTGCGAATCTTTAAAAAAATTAAAAAGTATGTGGTTAGCTGTTTTGTTCATTCATTTGTTCATTGTTACTTCTCAGTATAACGTGCAAATCAAATATATCCTTGGCAATGATTCTGAGCACTGCAAATAATGTTATTGTACTTTCAATACAGGAATATTGTGTAGATTTAAGTTAAAGGGAAACAACAGGAACAGACTGTAGCCAATTAATTTCATTCAACAAACATTTATTGAGCAACTGCAATGTGCAAAACCTTGCTACAATTTGACAGAGCATACAGGTGAGGTGGGGTGCAGGATCACTGCATAGAGAATGCATTCAGTATAGAAGGTACCAAGTATAAAAATAACCATTTACAATAGGAGTATAGGCACTAAGTACAGAAGTATGTTTGCAGGCAGTGTGTGTGAAATCAAAAAATATTTATCCAATTAGAATATATGTTCTAAAAAGAATGCTGCCATTCCTTTGTGTTAAAGGAGGCCTGAGACAGACATGGTAGGACAAAGGTACAAGTTACCTGAAATGTACTGGTTGGTAACTACTCAACAGTGGATAAGGGTAGGCATAAAACAGATATATCTACTGCTACTTCCTCCTTAGCAACTCCTCACCACAGACGCCGTGCCTCTTTCTGGTATATCTAAACAGGAACAAACATGTACAAGACTCAGTTCAAACTAGAAGGCCCTTTTCGCGAATGTTTTTTAAAGTGAGTGGTAAACTGCAAAAGTCACAATATGAGATCCATTCCTCCAACGTTCTAATACCATAATCTGTATACAATCAAAGGCTATTTATAAAGATTCCTGGTATTTCTCTATGAGTTGCTGGAAACAGCAAAATCATAGTTTATGAAGTTCACAATCCAACAGTGAAAATAAATGATACGGCTAGGCACGGTGGCTCACGCCTGTAATCCCAGCACGTTGGAAGGACGAGGCAGGTGGATCACCTGAGGTCAGGAGTTCGAGACCAGCCTGGACAACATGGAGAAACCCTATCTCTACTAAAAATACAAAATCAGCCAGGTGTGGTGGCGCACACCTGTAGTCCCAGATACTTAGGAGGCTGGGGCAGGAGAATCACTTGAACCCGGGAGGCGGAGGTGGCAGTGAGCCGAGATCGTACCACTGCACTCCAGCCTGGGCAACAGAGTGAGACTCCATCTCAAAAAAATAAATACATAAAAATAAATAAATAAAAGAAATGATACCTTGGTAAGTATCATGGCTCCACAAGCAGTAAGTTGTTGTGCCCCTCCCATTTAATTGGCTGGCTTGTTTAAGCCTCTTTATTTATAAGCAGGATCAGGTTGGTTCTGCAACCCATTGGCTCTGGACTTCCTCAACAAAGTCCCTCGTTTTTCTCATGACCTGCTATTAATGTAGCTCCTGCTTTCACACAAGGTGTTCCACAGGCTTATTTCACCTGCTTATAATTTATGTAAGGGGTAAATGTTTAATCCAGTTTCCTTCATTAAAACCCACAAGCTGCAAATTTCACATCTCAACAGACGTAGAAAAAAATCAGTCGGCCTCCCAGACAGTTCCATTCATTATACTAAAACAATAAAGCATATTTTTATTCCAGCCACGAATGCTGTTAATGGAGTTTATATCTCAACCTTTATTGTCTCAGCAGCTGTTTCAAAGAAGGGGCAACAGAACTGACTTAAAAAGCACCACTAGCCAAAGGCCTAAAATATTCCAGATCTTGTTGACTATGTTTTTAAAAGACAAAGCTGTCCTGAAAAGTTTTAAGTAATCCAACTTTATCTCACCAGGGAAAAAGTAAAGAGATTCTTAAATAGGGACTGAAAGGTGTAGATATTTCGGAAATTTTACAGATTTTTCTAAAATAGGCATATTGTATTTGTGTCACAATAATGATTTCCTAATAAAGCCAGTTAAGGAGAATTTCACAAGTTTGTCATCTAGTATAATTAATTATCAATTTTTAAAACCCAATAACTAATGTCTGAATGTAATTCCTAAAATTCAAAAATATTAATAAGAAAAAGAAAAAAACAATGATGAAGCAGGAATATAAGATCAGAAAACAAATTTGGGGAAAACAACAGAAACAAGTAATCATACACCCTTAAATGTATTTACAGCATCCTTAGGGAACAACATTCTGAGCACTTGAGTATTTCTTTGCCTATGACACTGAAAAAAATTATGATTAAAGAATAGACATTTTCAGATGAGAAAAAATTCAGAGATTTTACACATAAAAGCATTTTAGAGAGCTTACTTAAAGATATGCTGAAGCAAAACAAGAGAGTAAAATAAGAAACAGGAAGCCATACAATCTAAGAAATAGAGAATCCAACCTTGAGGACACATTGCCATCAGTCCCAACTGAAACAGGACAACTGAGGGCCCTAGCTGAGGAGGATCTAGGAAATGAATGGATTTCACAGGTTAATTAGTATGCTTGAGATGTTAGAAGAATTTAAGGGTCTGATTAAAGCAGAGAAGGCAAGAAAAAAAAATGGTAAGCAGAAACTCCAGGAAAAACAAAAAGCTGCCAAACAAAAAAGTGTAGTCATGGCACAGTGACTCTTTAGTGAATATTTACACAGTCATATTAGCATAAAACCTTTAGTCCAGTAATAATCAACTCCCAAAATCAACTTACAAAGCATAAATTAACTATGAACACATCACGATGTGATGATATCAATTTAAACAACACAAAAAATAAAGGGCAGATACCAGAAACTATAAAGTGGAAGCAGAGGAAAAGAGAAGGAAAGGCAGTAGAACTAATACAGAATGTAAGGGATACTCTCTGTAGCTGAAAAAGAGAAAACTGAGATAAATGGTAGAAAATGTGAAAACAGTAATATAATTATATTGTGTGGAGACGGCAAGGAGAGAAAAGATAAGTCAGTCTACAAAGCTGACAGGTCTTTCTTTTCCTGTTTGGCTTTTTGTTTTTGTGTTTGTTTTGATTTGCTTTGCTTTTTTGTTTTGTTTTGTTTTGTTTTTCATTTGTTTGTTTTGGAGTTGGCTTCTCTGAAATGTAAAATGAAGCATGACCTTTCCCAGAAAACCCAGTTCAAGGGAATAGTATCATAATCTACCAATGCTAAACCAGAAAAACCTAGGAATTACCCTCGTATAGTAGACTAGAGATGGCTACAAATTATTCGTAGTTTTCCCACTGAAAAGTGATACTATCTGCTTCCCTGGTTAGGTGGCTGCTTTGATTAATAGAAGCAATTAAATGAACATTTTGAGCTCTTCAAGCCGAGGTACTAAGGCTTGGCTACTTCCACTTTCCTACTCTGAAAATATCCAGCAGCTATAACAAAAGTCATGACTACCATAAGACCACCACGCTGTGAGGAAGGCCAAGCTTGCAGCATAGAGGCCAAATGGAGAGAAAGAGATGCCTGGCCAGCCCCAGGTGTTTGAGCCACTCAGTCAAGGCTTCACACACAAGAGGGAAGATCCTACCTTGGACGTTCTAGTCCTGGCAGATGCCATGTGAAGTAGACATAAGCTGTTCTTACCAAGGAGAATTCAAATTGCAGGGTACTAAGTATATAAACGTTGTTATCATTTTAAGCCACTAAGTTTGGAGGTGGTTTGTTACGCAATGAACAAGACAAAAATCAGAATCTAGAAGTGGGTGCTGGCATAAGAAAATCTAAAACATGTGGAATTGGCTTTGGGAATGGGTTTTGTGTGGAGCCTGAAGGGCCTCGAGGAAATGGCTAGTGGGTCTGAAAGTGGGAGCTGCTAGTGAGGAAACGGCTACTGAAGGCGGGACAGAAGAAGATACCAGCTGTGAACTGGCAAACAATGAGGAAAACTGTTGTAATGTACACAACAGAGAGAGTATCTAATGAACTTGGGGGTCAACTTAAGAGGATTTCCCAACAGAAAGCTGGAAGTATAACTGGCTTCCTTTAACTGCCTGTGATAAAGTATGGGAGAAGCAAGACAAGCTAAGAAAAGCAGAAATCAGAGGGAATATAAAGGACCCAAAACGTTATGGGTCCAAAAGTAAAGCTACTTCCATCTGCAGTCCCTCTCAGCAAAAGATTTTTACAGTATAAAGTAGCCTCAGGTCAAGGACCAAAATAGGGCTCTGACAGTAAAAAGGACCCATGGTTAGTATCAAGAAAGTAAGACTCCTTTTTCTTTCTCACCTCAAAGATCTGAGGACCTGTCTCCCAGACCCACTTATCTAGACAAGGGGGTTTCTAAGACTTTAAGGGGCTGTCCCACAGCAACCTGACACCCAGCCTAAAGTAGAGAAGAACCAATCTTATCTTCAAAGATATTCTGGGTGTGACTTTTCTCAAACAGAGTAGACTGTAATTTGATATACAGAAAGTTCTTAAAATTTGGGGGTACTACACTAGCTTAGAATAAATGAAATTAGGCGGGCGCGGTGGCTCACGCCTGTAATCCCAGCACTTTGGGAGGCCGAGGCAGGCGGATCACGAGGTCAGGAGATCAAGAATAAATGAAATAAGATCTCCCAAAATAAAGGAGGCCTCCAAACCCCCAAACTTCTATAGGCAGGAAGCATGCTAAAAAAGAGTTGGCTGCAAACATCAGCTGTTTCTTACTGGAATGGAGGGACAACACAGAGGATGGAGCCAAAAATCACAGAAAATCATTCCCAATGAGAGCTGAGGCTGAGAATTGGCTGAATTTCAGAACTGCTATGGACCAGTACCTGTTCTACAGTACTGTAACCAACTGCCCCACATCCATTTGGAACAGGGGTGTCTACTGGGCTTATATCATCCCCATATTCCTGTTTTATATATGGGGGGCTGGGGGACAAATAACTTGTCCTTTTATTTAGTTCACACACCTCTGCAACTGAGAAACCACACCCAACCCACCTTATCTACACCCCCACGTGATTTAATGAATGCAATTCTGGTATCTGAGTCGGAGCCTGATGCTATAATGAGCTGAGACTGCTGGGCATCTTGGGAGTGAGCAACTGTGTTTTGCCTTTGAAGAAATGTAAATAATTTGTGGCCAGAGGGCAGACAGTGATGGATTAAATATGCACCCATAAATTCTTTGATGGGAGCTATTTCCCTTCTTCTTGAATGCAATCTGGCCCTGTGGCTGCTCTGACCAAAAGAATGTAGCAGAACTAATGTTCTGGGACTTCTGCACCCCAGTATGAAGAAGGCTAACAGTTTCTACTATTGAGCTCTAGGGAAAAGCCAGCCACCATGCAGGAAGTCAGACTACCAGGAGACTGACATGCTGTAAGGCAGGTCATGCTAGCGTTGGGGAGAGACCAAAAGGAGAGCCATTCCCAGCCAGCCCCTAGATGACACCACAAGGTCAGCCGAGGCACCACCCAGTAAAGAAGCCATCCTGAAAATTCCAGCTCTTGCAGACACTATGTGGAGTACAGATGAGCCATCCATCAAGCCCTGCCCAAATTGCAAAATAGTGGGCAAATAAACAACTGCTGTTGATTTAAGCCATTAATTAGAAAGGTGAATTGTTATGTACCCTAGAAAACCAAAACACTTCATTTCTCTCCCTCCTTTCACCCCATCCTACCACCAATATACAATCACTAAATCCTATTTCTCTTCCTCTTTAATATTGCTCTAACCAGCCGCACTTTTTTTCCACTTCCACTGTTTACATGGTTCCCATCATTTTTTGCATGAACAACTCTCAGTAGCTTCCTAATATACCCATTCACCCATTTACCACCGCCACTACTTCCAATACACCCCATTCTCCAAATCACAGTCAAAGTGTTCTTTCTAAATACAAACCTAACAGTAAATTCATGCTTTTTTTTTTTTTTTGAGACAGAGTCTCACTCTATTGCCCAGGCTGGAGGGCAGTGGCGTGACCTCAGCTCACTGCAACCTCCACCTCCTGGGTTCAAGCGATTCTCCTGCCTCAGCCTCCCAAGTAGCTGGGACTACAGGCGCCCACCACCATGCCCAGCTAATTTTTTGTATTTTTTTTTTTTTAGTAGAGACAGGGGTTTCACCGTGTTAGCCAGGATGGGCTCGATCTCCTGACCTCGTGATCCACCTGCCTCGGCCTCCCAAAGTGCTGGGATTACAGGCATGAGCCACCACGCCCAGCCACATCCATGCTTAAAATCAGCACTAGCTCTCCAGCACACACACATAGAGTGAAATTCCTCACAAGGACACACAAAGCTTTCCCCCATATAGCATCGATCAGTTCTCCAGCTTCATGTGCAACCATCACCCATCAGCAATGAGCACTCCAGAGAAAGAGAAAGTCTCACAGGAAAAACCCAGAACAAGTTTCTAGACTCTAGATGCATATATGCTGTCACTAATTAACCACCTGACCCTGGACAAGTCACTCTAAATAAACAAGCTTTAGTTTCCTTTACATAATATTAGTGTTAGACCAAAATGAGATGATCTCTTGATCTCTCATCCATCTCTAATATGCTGTGGTATCAAAATGCTTTCAAAAATGAGTCTGAAAACAAGGAAAATATTTTCAAAAAGGAAGTTCTACATACTCCCCTTCTCCCTGACCCAGCTCTACCCTCAAGCTTGTGTGACAGCTTGTTTCCAGGATTAGTTCTCTTACTTCTTTTTAATTTCCCCCTTTCTTCCTCTGAAGTCACAGTATCTCCAAACCCCAAATCTCCCACAATCATGGGGGATTGCACAGTGGTGGTGAATAACTGATTCAATTTGTCAGTAAGAACTGTTTTTGCATCAGATATGTCAGTCAAGGTCCACCCACATAACTATCCTTAGTCAATGCCTGATACTACATGACCTTGGCATTAAGCAGCTTTTTCAATAGCTGAAAATAACGTATAATCAGAAAGCACAGAGGACTTCACCTTCACAAAAGAACAGCACAACCTATTCTTTCCTATCAAGAATTATGTACAAAATAAAAAATATAATACTCTGGCAATAAGAAATTCTCTTTTTTAGCAAGAATTAACAGAATATACAGATTAATCTACATTTTCTCACTCACAGAATGCAGTAGGTTTATTCTCCAGATAATGAAGATGCTTTGGGGTTGATTTTTGTTGTTGTTGTTCTTGTTGTTGTTAGCTACTGGAGAATAAAGGCAACAAGTTTTAACTAGTTTTAGAATGTATCTATCAACCTAGAAACCATAGGAAAAGCTACACTGTAAACTCCATGGAGACAGACCCTTTTTCAGTCCTGGAGACTGGAACATTTGTCAAATGAATGAAGGAATGTTTCAATTAACAGAAAATGAACATTAAGCAGTGAGGAATTATTCAAATCATGAAAACCTGTGGACTTTTGCTGAAGTGAACACTTCAAACACAAACTCTGCTTGGAATCTCCTGAAACATGTAGATCTTGAGCCCTTCCTCCTGCATCTAATGCAAAGCTGTATTAACTGAGCTCTATGTACACTGTAGGATGTGTACCACCCACCAAGGGTGCCCTAAAGTCAAGGATGAACATGGCACAGATTCTAGTAGAATGATTCTGACTTATAGACTGGAGAGTGGGGGGGTTAAATCATTTTACTGCCAAGCTTTTAAAAACATCTTTATATTAAAATACATAAGATATATTATCAAATAAACTAAAATCTGAATTACTTCTTAATATACAACAAGGTGTCAAAGTAATTTAGAGCTTGTGGCAGACTTAAAAGGGTTTTGTCCCCCATCTCCCCGGGGATACACCTTCATTCTTCTATGCCGCAACTTAAGCTTTCGTTGAAACATGCCAAAGGACTGAATAGAACATTTCTCCATTCTTTCAATATAAGAACTAACCAAGGTTTATAATAATGATTCTGGTATAATAAATACTTCCATTCTCAGGTAATAGCTTCAAAAAAAAGGATAAGAAATTTTAAGTTGAGCAATCTGAAACATTCTCCATTTAAAAGATCATTTGTCTACCCCAATCTATACATTTTACTTGGTACATACACTTTTACTTTAAAAACAATTTCATTTTCCATGTGGTCTTCCATCCCTAGTAAACACACACACACACACACACACACACACACACACACACACACAGTATCATGCATTATCTGTGATGAAAAGATTTCTAACATCATTTTGTATAAATATTTTAATTCAGGTTAGTACAGAAAAAAAGGTATAATTTATAAAGAAGGTAAAAGTAAGAGAGATATGAGAGACTTTTTAATATCTAAAAATAGACACTGCCTAAGCACAAAAAGCAAAAATAGAGCTCACAAGGAGATTAAGTTACATACACAAGGTGTCTGAACATCTTCCATCCCCTGTCAAAATCAGAGGAAGCTGTGAAGCCTGCCAGCCATCAGGCCCGGGTTAATGAGTTCCACAGTCCAGTTTCACAGTATCTCTGGCATTTGCAGTCATGGGGAAAGAACATGCAGCCCCCGTGCTCCTGGGCCCCTCTCTCAAGAGTCTGTTTCAGGCATGCAGGGCTAAAATAAACCAAACCAGCAGACTGAACTGCCTTTCACCCATGGATAAAGACCTACTCCTGTCCATGGCCAGGTACCAGGAGATCCTGGGTCAATGCATTTTTAATTCCACCGGATCCTCTACTTCACAACATGACTTTCTTTATTTTTAGGGGAAAAGTGTGTGGGGTTTTTGCAGGGGAGAAAGGATTAAGATAATTATTAGTTCTAGTTTCGCAGCTAGCAACAAAATCACTTGCTAACAACTAGTTTTTCATTATTACTAAACAAAATATTTTAATTGTAGGCTCTATTCATATTGCTTAAAGAAATTACATTCTAAATGTTTTGAGATATTCTTGTATGTTAACAGGTAGTTACAAAATGTATTATTTTTGATCTAGCAAATACCTTAAAAAATAAACGCAGGAAGTATAAACAATTTTGTTAAACAACCCCAACATTTCCAAAATACACATGCTGCTCCAAAATAAAGCAAATACAAAGAAAATGAGCTACTCCTTACTATCATTCTGTATTTTCTTTTGATATGAATTTCAATTACATTAGTTTTTATCTTAATAAATTATAATTTTTCCTCTTCCTAGTTGCATTCTACAGGATCATTACAAAAGAATACTTATTAAGTCCAATTTCCCATCTCTGTTTGTGCTTACTATTAAAAGTTTTGTGTTTACTATTTAAACAGCTCAAGAAAACTCACAAGAAAAACACAGGCTCAAGTGGGACAATTAATGTGAACAGAGACTTCTTAAGAGAAGCAGTAAAATAAACCTAATGGAGAAATGCTTACATGTGAACTTCATTAAAGAAATACAGATTAAATCAAGATACTAGTTTTGGGAAAGATTATGATATAAAAGATTATACACAATGCTAGAGAAAGTTCAAGGAAATCAGGTATTTATATATATAGGTGGTGTAACTGTAAATTAGAATAGGCTTTTGTAGGGGGGATATATATACATACACACACACACACACACACACACATCTCCCCAGCAAAGGCAATAGTTACGTGAATCAAAGCATATTCATTCTGAGAAATAGTGAACAATCACTAGATTTTTTAAAAAGATGGCGCAGTAAGAAAAAGCAGAGTTCAAAACTGCATACATAGTATTATTGTAGTACTTTTTAAAAGATGTATTTGACCTTATTTCAGAATAGTTTTAGATTTACAGAAAAGGTGAAGATAGTTGAAAAAGTTTCCTTATAAATCACACCCAGTTTCTTCTATTGTTAACATCCCTCTTCAGTATGGACACCCAAATGTCCTTTTTCTGTTTCAGAATCCCATCTAGGACAACACATTACATTTAGTCATATGTCTCCCTAAGCTCCTCTTGGCTGTGACAGTTTCTCAGACGTTCATTGTTTTTAATGACTGTGACAGTTTTGAGGGGTTCTCAAGAGGCATTTTTTTTAAAAGTTTCTTAGTCAGGATTTATCTGATGTTTTTCTCATGATTAGACTGAGTGATGGGTTTTAGGGAGGAAGACCACAGATGTAAAGTGCCATTTCTAACAACAGATTCAAGAAAAGGCATGAACAAAAAGAAGTATCACAGAATGCTAACAATAATTATATTTGGGTAGCGAGGGACTACGGATAATTCTTTTCTTCTAACTTATCTAAATCTTTTTTTAAGTATTTCACTAAAATCACTTTTTATTACTTTAAAATTAAACACCTAAAGGAAAGCCCTTAAGTTACAGTTAAAAATTGAACAAGAGTAGAACTATGTCCATCTGCTGCTGTCCCCCCTCCACCCATGCAGAGAAATGGGGATGGTTACACTTGCCCACCAGCTGCTGCTTATCCTCTATGACACCAGCAGCCGTGCAATTGATTTGACAGCTGTTAAATGACTTTTAGGTACTGCACATCTATGTGGGCCAGGGGTTGAGAAGGACAAACTATTTGGGTAGGGTTGCAGTTTCCCCTGACATCTTTCTTATGTATGGGTCATTATGTATGTAATACCCTTACTGACACAAAAAGGGAGAATACAGCTCACCAGATCTCAGCTATATGGAGAGAAGACTATGACCTGTTAGGTGAAACAAACCATGTCGCAGAATAGTAAACATATAATTTTTGCAAAAAAATGCAATTCATACATCACAACAAATTATAGGTACGTCTGTGTGTATATATACATGTATATATGCTTTTTTTTTTTTTTTTGGAGAGATGGAGTCTCGCTCTGTCACCCGGCTGGAGTGCAGTGGTGCAATCTCGGCTCACTGCAACCTCCGCCTCCCGGGTTCAAGCAATTCTCCTGCCTCAGCCTCCCGAGTAGCTGGGACTACAGGTGCACGCTGCCATACCCAGCTAATTTCTTTTGTATTTTAGTAGAGACAAGGTTTCACCATGTTGCCCAGGCTGGTCTCGAACTCCTGAGTTCAGGCAATATGCCCGCCTTGGCCTCCCAAAGTGCTAAGATTACAGGCGTGAGCCACTGCGCCTGGTCATATGAATTTTTAAAGTCTAGGGTATGCATCAATCTATAACTTCCTGAAAGGATGAAAAATTGAAAGGGAAGTTATTTTTCTTTTTGTTTTAACTTTTTATATTTTTCTATTGCATAAACTTTACCATGATCATCTTTTATTACCAAAAAAAGGTTGTAAATAATAATGCAGAAAAGCTTTAAGCCAAGAACTCATTTGTTTAAAGAGTTAAATTAACCACTATGTACAAAATAAAGCACAGTTTCAAAGAGTAGACCCAAAAAAATGGAAGTTTGAGTAAACTTCTAGCATGGTGAACCAAGATTATAATCCTTCACTTATCTTTTAAGAATTAAGTGTCATTTTATTTTTTGTCTTTTGTTCCTTTTTAAATTGAAGTTAACTGAAGCTGTCTATATTCCTTGCACAACTCTCTTCCCTGGGCTACCATTATTTTGAGAAGGATGTTCATGACAAGCACTAACAGGGAGAGATGATAGGTTTCTCAGTCATAATTGAATTCGTTCGCTCCGGCCTTTCAAACAGCTGCAGTGTTTAAAAGCATCCAACTGTGAGGGCTACATGCCTTCATGTTTCTTTGTTTTTTAACAAGCTGACTTGACACACATATCTCTAGAGAATTTATTGAGAAACACATCTGAGAAGCCAACCCAGAAGGAAAACACTTAGCCTCTTCACTGCTACTCAGAAAGTAAACACTGGATTCCTTATAATTCTATTATTTACGTACTTTACTTAAAACCAAGATCACTGGGCATCACCCAGATTTGAAAAATGTCCAAGGTACTTAAATTGCCACCCAATTCAACTTCTTCTAATTAAAGCATTGCAGGCCTTTGTTAAAACACAAAAGAATATGCTGTCTTCAACAGACGGCACATTGCATGGTTTTGTCCTTCATTTCAACCTCAGCAACCTTTTCTCCAAGGACATGTTGCAAAACAGAGCACCAAGCAAATGAAACCTCTGACGCTAAGTGTTGGTGAGGATAAGAGGATCGAGAAGGATGGAGCACACATCACAGTGTTGTCATCGAGGGGGCCTTTAGGGAATTCATCTCTATAACATATATAGTTCTATTTACTAACATTTTACGATTCATGTAAGAGTAGAATAAACAAAAGTGATTATTAGAGAAAAGAGAGCTCAGGAAAGATCAGGCAGTTCCCTCCATACCAAATTGGAAAGGTCCTGCATGATTAAACCACTACATGTGCTTTGGTTACCCACAAGCAGGGTTTATGGTAGTTTAATGTACAAAAACGGAATCCAAAGCCTTGGACTTGGAAAACAGACCCAGCACCTAAGGATTAATTAAGGGTCTCTAGCACACTCATTCAGATGCATGTAGGATCTGCATCATTCTGATCAACACCCTAGTATTCATACCCTAGTGAGACCGAAACTTAACATGATAGTTATGTATCATTTCAGGCATTCGTGATAAACTGAGGCATGTGAGACAAGCTGACCAAAGCTTCAGAAGTGTTTCCGATCTGCATGCATAAGGAGGAGAAACTATTCATCCAGCCCCCTCAATGACCATACTGGTAAGTGGGTACCAGCTCTAAATTCTAGCCCACCTCATTCAGGTAGCCATTCATCTCCTGCACATCTACGTTCAACAAACTCAACAGCATTCCAAGAATATTTATCTGAGTGTTTACTAATGCCAGGTTCTGAGTTTAAACAGATTTAAATAGACTAATAGACCAAGAGTTCTTTCAAGGACATTAAAATCTCCAGGACAATATCTTCTGTTTTTGTCAGATCAATTCCCTCCAAATCTCTTCCTCAAACAGCCGGAAAGATTACACTTCTGAATTCTAGGAAGATGGCCACAGCAATGGAAGCAAAATTGTTTGATTTTCCCAAATCTCCACACAAAAACAGAACAACTGATATCAAAACCAAAACCCATGGACAACATTTACAACAAAATTAGGTGAGAAAGTATCCTCTTGAATCCAAAAATAAAAGTGGCTTTGGTACAAACTACATACAAGACTTGCAGAATCTCGGCATCTCTGAGGAAGGATGCAAAGGGAAGCAGCCGGGTGACTGACAGGCCAGAGAACAGATCTACAAGGCAGCCAACAGGTACTCATTGTCAATCATGGCCTGCCCATGGGAGCACAGCAGCTGAAACCACAAGTTTTTCTCTATCCCAGTTAGTGAGTAGAAGTGCCCACAGCAAAGTCTAAGGGTATAAACTCTGGAAACTGACACTCCAGGACTCACATCTAAGACAGGAACTCACACCGACAAGAAACGGCTTGATCAGGAGAGAGAAAATAGAAAAAAAAAAGAAAAGAGATGGTACACATAAAACAGAAATGGGGAACGAGCCGGGAAATCTCAGAAAATAAGCTACCATATTTTTAACAGCTTTATTAATATATAATTTACATACCATAGATTCACCTTTTCAAAGCATACGGTCACTGCTTTTTAGCATATTTACAAAGTTGTGTGACCATCACCATCATTTTCAGCACCCCAGAAAGAACCCTGTACCCGTCACCAATCGCACCTCCATATCTGGACCTTACCCCCTTCCCCCAAACACTGATTTAATTTCTCTATGTATAGATTTAACTATTCTGGACATTTTATATAAATGATGTCATATTAATATGTGGTCTTCTGTGACTGGCCTCTTTCATTTAAGCATTTTTTGGGGTTCATAATGTTGTGGCATGTATCAGTGCTTCATTCCTTTTTATTGCCAGGTAAAATTCCATCATATGGATATGAAACATTTTGTTTATCCATTCATCACGGATGGACATTTGGGTTGTTTCCATTTTTTGGCTATTACGAATAATGCTGCAATGAAAATTCACATACGAGGGTTATTTTTGGTATAAATCTAGGGGGTATTAATGCTGTTTTGATATATGTATGTATCATATAATGGTGAAGTCCAGGCCTCTAGTGTAACCATCAACCAAATAGTGTCATGTATGAGTTTTTGTAGAGAGTTACGTTTTCATTTCTCTTGGGTAGATAACTGGGAGTCGAACTGCTGAGTTAACTGGTAACTCTATGTTTAACCTTTCAAAGAACTGCGAGACATTTACCAAAGTGGCTGTACCATTTTACATTCCCACCAACAGTGTATGAGGATTCCAATTCATCCACTTTCTCATCAACACTTGTTATTATCAGTCATTTTTATTATAGCTGTTCTGGTGGGCGTGAAGTAGTATCTCATTATGATTTTGATTTTCACTTCTCTAATGACGAATGATGTTGAGCATTTTTAATGTGCTTATTGACCATCTGAATACCTTCTTTGGAAAAATAACCATTCAAATACTTTGCCCATTCTTTAATTGGATTATCTTTATTATTAAGTTGTAAAAATTCTGTACATGTTCTGTTTACAAGTTCCCTCTGATATATGATTGCAAACTTACAAGTTCCCTCTGATATATGATTGTGTGCATATATATATACACACACGCACACACACACACACACTCACATACATACATACATAGTTTTTCATAAAGAGTTATTGGTCAGTTACCAGTCTTGCCTTCAAGAAACCTTTTGTTTAAACTTATAATATGAATATATACGTAAGTCTTCACACAATGATATCATATATGTGGGTTTTTAAAAAGGCTAGAAATGTATATACCAGAATCTCAACAATGTTTGTATCACAGTAATGGCTGGTAATTGGCAAATTTTTCCTTTTTGCTCAATTTGTTTTAAAATATTTTCTACAACAAAACCTTTTCTAATTTTAAATTTATATTCATTTTAAATACTGTATGCTCACTCCCTCCCAGATATTTCAACTGACTCAATTTAGAAATAGGAAAGTAATGGCTGGGTTCACGATTAATCTGTTCTTCCATTTCAGTAGCCCATTTCAAATCAAACATTCCATTCCTTCCCAATGTAGATTTATTCACATTAAAGGTTCCCCCCCTCTTCAAAATACCCTGGCTAACAGATAAATTTAAAGTATTGGGTTTCTCTGGAAGTTCTGCAAATTAGTTTAGTTCATTCCACAGTTTGATGCAGATTGACCCTTGGTGAAACTTCACAGTAAAATACACGGAATCTTAAATATAATTTTAAGGAACAAAAACACAAATCTCTTTAATGAATTTATATTCTGCTGTCAACAAAGGCTTTCAAGGAGGCAATAAATGTTCTCTGCAATCCCAGCTTCTCTTTAGACATGTATGTAATTTCAATTAATAAATTTAGCGAACCCTTTGCTAGATAGCTATAAAGGTCCCTTCTAATCTTAGGATGTTAAGATACTAGTGTTAATTTATACTTGCCCTGCTATATCATCTCTGGAGGAAATGAATTCGAATCCAAAATTTCTTTCAAATATTCTGACCCACTTGACAGATGTTGTAAAGGATTTCCCCAGCTTTCAGATTTTTAAATTTGTTCACCAAATTTGTTTATCTTAACCAAATTTGCCACTTACCTTAAAACTCAGTTGCCTGCCTTGTATAAACAAAATAACAGCACTCTCAGAGTATTGTTGTGAGGTTTAAATAAGCTAATGTACGTAAATAACGGTGTATGCTCATGATAATCACTCAATAAATGGTACCTATAATTACTATGTTTGATATATTCACATCACGTCCTCTTTAAAAGCTTTCCTATATTACAGCCATCCCCCTTTTCATTCCAAAGGTTCCTATGCTGTCAGTCTACCGTCTGCTATGGTCTGCCTAACCCAAGCCCATCTCCACACACACAGTAATCCAGGTGCGGACACAGCACAGCAGCGCACAAACGCCAGAACAGTGCTTCTTCTTCTATCTCCTTCTCCTCAGAGCTGACCCTTAAATACCACAGCCCGTCACGCTAATGAATTATGCCCCAAATAAACTACAAGCCAATGAAGACTAGAGGTCAAACTATAAATAAACTCCACACGTGCTGTATTTGCTGAAGAAGTTGGGTCAGGGCACACCACACTACATGATGTGCAGGTCTATATTTGGTTATCAAGAAATTAAACACCTGTCTGTTTTTCAGAAATACCACGTGGACATTAAAAGTAAAAAATAACTACTTTAGAAATACCGAAGGGGAGGCCGGGCGCGGTGGCTCACGCCTGTAATCCCAGCACTTTGGGAGGCCGAGGCGGGCGGATCACGAGGTCAGGAGATCGAGACCATCCTGGCTAACACGGTGAAACCCCGTCTCTACTAAAAATACAAAAAATTAGCCGGGCGTGGTAGCGGGCACCTGTAGTCCCAGCTACTCGGGAGGCTGAGGCAGGAGAATGGCGTGAACCCGGGAGGCGGAGCTTGCAGTGAGCCGAGATCGCGCCACTGCACTCCAGCCTGGGCGACAGAGCGAGACTCCGTCTCAAAAAAAAAAAAAAAAAAAAAAAAAAAAAAATTCTAAGTGCAGACATAAAATATTTTAACTAATATAAAATGTAAGACATTTCACATAGACCATGAATCCACGTGGCTAAAGCTTATCAGGCCACAGAGATAAAAAAGCCGAAAGAACCCAAACGTTACGCCATATATTTTCCAACAAATGGTTTAAACGCTCTTCTCCACAACCGCTCCTTTGTTTTACTGACCTTAGAAGGCAAGCACATGGAAAATATGACAATAACTCAAATTCTAATACTGATGAGAGTTAAATGAAATACATAATAAAATCTTCCCCACCTTATGATATAATGTGATGAAATAGAACTAGTTACCACTTAGTATGAAACAGGAGGGCTTAACGTAAAATCTCATTAATACTATTATTATGTCTGCCTCATGGGCTTTTAGGATTCCTCTCAAACCCACAAACATTTGGAGTAAAGGACATTTCCTAAAATGCTTCAATGCCAAGGGCCATTTGGTTAAAGTGTTTCAAAAAATAATACTGAAATGGTTCTATGAAGCTGTAGTGACAGCCCCAATTTATAGAGTTAAGCAACTACGGGATGCACACAGAGCCTCTTTTTTTTGAGACAGAGTCTCGCTCGGTCATCCAGGTTGGAGTGCCGTGGTGTGATCTCGGCTCACTGCAACCTCTGCCTCCTGGGTTCAAGAGATTCTCCTGCCTCAGCCTCCCAAGTAGCTGGGACTACAAGCACATCACCATATCTGGCTAATTTTTTATTTTTTTTTTTTTTCTTTTTGGTAGAGACAGGGTTTCACCGTGTTGGCCAGGCTGGTCTCGAACTCCTGGCCTCAGGTGATCCACCCGCCTCGGCCTCCCAAAGTGCTGGGATTACAGGAGTGAGCCACCATGCCCAGCCCACGGATGTTTACAGAGCTTCTGAAGACACTTGGGGTTCAAAAAGCACTGCTTCCATTTGCAATATTAACTTTAGTTAATCCCATAAATTTTCATAAGGCTAAGGATGAATCAGTCAGTTTAATAAGATTCACTTACTGAAATGTCACTAGTCTAACTACTACAAATAATAACCAGGCAATTCAAACAAGTTGGGGGGTAGGCCTAGGGACAGCAGTGTTCGCATGTCTGGGAGAAGAAGAGAATCCTGTAAATTATAATGAATAAGAGAGCTTGAAATTTTGTGAGGGCTGTAGAAGTTTGGGCTATACCCTCCCAATTCACCCTAATTTTGCTTCCCCTCACACAAAACACACATCTGAATGATAATCCAGTTTAAGTTAGGTAAGTAACCCCTTTATGGCTTCTAAATGCACAGATGGCCTAAAAGACGTGGGGTTTTTTTTGTTTGTTTGTTTTTCTTTTGAGACAGAGTCTCCTCTATCATCCAGGCTGGAGTGCAGTGGTGCAATCATGGCCCACTGTAGCCTTGACCTCTTGGGCTCCAGTGATCCTCCCACCTCAGGTTCCTGAGTAGCTGGGATCACAGGCACATGCTTACACACACGCATGCACACACACACGGTTATTTTTTTTATTTTTTATTTTTAATGAAGACAAGGTCTCACTATGTTGCAAGGCTGGTCTCAAACTCCTGGGCTCAAGCAATCCTCCCACTTCAGCCTTCGAAAGTGCTGGGATTACAGGTGTGAGCCACCATGCCCAGCTAAAATACCTTTTTACCGTCACCTCTAAATAAAGTCAAAGGGCCAAATAAACTAAATTGATTCCACAATTTCAAACAAACAAAAAGGAAATGAAGTCATTAGGTCTTCCCAGGTTATTACCAGAAAAAAAGATACTAAATTTGGAAGTTTATTTTAACATATAATGGAAGTTTCAGGATTAATTCCCAATCTATTAACAACGCCAATTTTCAATTTATTGTTGCAGAGAAGTTAGTTGTCATAAACCACATTTAGGCAACATCATAATTCTCCAGTAAGAGACATATTTACCGAGTTAATTCCCTCAACAAATGTTTATTCTGTGACCTAAAACCTGACAGACACTGTGCCAGGCAGGAAAAAGATGAGCCAGACAGGAATGGTCCCTTGCAACCACACAGCTTACCTTCCAGTGGGGGAAACAGACAAGAAAATGGGCAAGTACAGTACAGTGTGATAAATGCCACAAAGAGAGAAGCAGATGGTGCCATCGGAGCACATAAAGGGGAGGAAGATCACAGAAGGTCAAAGGTGACCACTCAGAAACACTGAACAGCCAAAAACTAATTTTTTTTTTTTGAGACGGAGTCTCCCTCTGTTGCCCAGGCTGGAGTGCAACACAATCTCGGCTCACTGCAACCTCCGTCTCCCGGGTTCAAGCAATTCTCTTGCCTCAGCCTCCCGAGTAGCTGGGACTACAGGTGCGCACCACCACGCCTGGCTAATTTTTGTATTTTTAGTAAAGACAGGGTTTCACCATGTTGGCCAGGGTGGTCTCGATCTCTTGACCTTGTGATCTGCCTGCCTCGGTCTCCCAAAGTGCTGGGATTACAGGCGTGAGCCACCGCACCCGGCCAAATTTGTAAACTTTCTTAAAACATTATAAGATTTTTTTGTGATTTTTTTTAGCTTATCAGCTATCCTTATTGTTTGTGTATTTTATGTGTGGCCCAAGACAATTCTTCTTCCAATGTGGCCCAGCAAAGCCAAAAGACATTGGATACCCCTGATAAACCTAGGACCACACCTGCAGATATGGAATTTCAAGAACAAAGAGGCCAGACTGTTAGTCTTAAAAGGATAGAGTTCTTTCTGTCACTAAGCATCACGGCGGGAAACACTTTGTATTACACTGTCAAGATTCCAGTTATATGACCTGTAGCTTCCTCAGTGTATAAAAACTGATTCACAGTACCCTAGCTTTTAACCACAGGTGTTTGCATTTCTGGAGCCCCTCTCTTCGGTGGTTCTCTACAGGATCTCAAATAACTAAAACCAAACATGGTTCTCCTTCTCTTCTTCTAGAGCAGGGTTTCTTGATTGGGGTTCCATGATGTCAAGAAGGGTCCCACAAGAGATTGTGCTTAGGGTGGAAAAAAACAATTGTCTCTTCAACTTCATATGCCTCCTGTGATGCTTGTGTTTGGAGTGATGTACAGTGATCAAGCAATCCCATTAGCAATTAGAAGTATTTTGTCCCTTTATGGCACTGCAATACTACATCCGCATTCCCATGGTTGAGTTCATTCTCAGTGTCATGTCATGTCAGTGACATGTCAGAGGGAGGGTGGTAGGCCTAGGCCACTGAACAATCTCCAATGAGTTCTAGATGACACCACTAAAACAGCTGACTTGGTTAAACAAAGGCCAGGTCACTCTGTAGAAAGTCTTGATAACAAGCACATAAATCTCCTCCTGCATACAGAAAGCCAAGGGCATAGCAGAGGAAGAATTCTCAACAAAGTGAACTGAAAGGTGAACTGCCTACAAAGTCAGACTGAGAAGTCCAGACCACATCCCATAAGCATGAGGAGCTACCCACGAAAAGTTTTTAGTAAGCTGAAATGAGGGGAAGTATTTTAGGACAATTAATGTGACCATCAACTAGATCAATTAATGAAGTGTGTATGTGCATGTGTGTATTATATGGAGGAAGAATATGGGGGGATGTTGGTGTTTGTGTGTGTTTATGTTGGGAGAAGAAAGGGTATGCAGGATGGTGTGTAGGTGTGGTCTGTGTGGGTGTGGTCTGTGTGTATATGCATGTGTGTGTATTTTGGGGGAAGAGAAAATAGAGCAGGGTAGAACCAGTCAGAATGCTATGTCAATAATCCAGATATGAGGTGATCCTTAAAATAGGGATTTAGAAGTGAATAGGAAAAAATTCATAGAAAGGCCATTCAAAGTCAACAATGTGAAGACTGAAATGGGATGGAAAGAAAGCAAATCGAAAGTATGGGCCAGGCCTAGTGGCTCATGCCTGTAATCCCAGCACTTTAGGAGGCTGAGGCGGGCGGATCACCTGAGGTCAGGAGTTTGAGACAAGCTTGGCCAACATGGTAAAACCCCATCTCTACTAAAAACACAAAAATTAGCCAGGCCTGGTGGCACATGCCTGTAATCCCAGCTACTTGGGAGGCTGAGGCAAGAGAATCGCTTGAACCCAGGAGGTGGAGGTTTCGGTGAGCCGAGATCATGCCACTGCGCTCCAGCCTGGGTGACAGAGCAAGACTCCATCTCACAAAAAAAAAAAAAAAAGTAAAGTATGAGGTGTGAGGATAGGTCACTGATTTATTACCATAAATTGAAATTGGGATTTCAAGAGAAATACTTAAGACTTTAAAAGAAGAATTGGTTTTAGACATACTGAATTAGGACTGACAGAAGACATCCAGTTGTAGACATTCACCAGTGCTGGTGGCTGTTAAGCTATAAAGTCCCAGTGATTACAATACTGCAGAGAATGGGTGACATGAGAAAAATATTGGATTGATGACATTTCCAGTACAGATGAGTAAGTCGAATACAAAAACAAGTTTATCAAGCCATCTTCACATAGGCATTAAACCATCTGAGAGTACTTCAATCTCAGCATTGTTCACTTTAATAATTTACACTCTACTTGGGAACACATATTAAATAACAGACCACCAAATGTGCTTCTCGCAAGTAGTGACAAACTATATATCACACTAATCCAAACTGATTCTGTTGCTTTAATTTATTTAGAGTCTTGTGGCTTTTTAAGCATTTTTCTTACATTAACTGACTTTTCCTTTATAATTATTCTGTGAGGAAGGCCACAAAATTTCTTGAAATCGGAGACATAAAGGGTGAGCTGTATTTAAGGGAAAACTTCTTAGATGAAAGAGTTTTGCTTGATCATCTTGTTATATTTTATGGTTTTGTACAAAACCACTGGTACCAAAAATGATCTTAACTGTTAAATTCATGTTATTTCTGGCAACAACATAAAGTACTCCATCACAGACTGAAGACAACAGTCCACATAAATATCAAGTTTCCTCCTTGGCCATTTTAAAGAAAAGCATAGCTACTTTATGAAATTCAAGGGTCACAGAACTTAGCAATCTGACTCACTAGGAATTGTGCAATACACTTTGATTTGTAACTGAAATTAGGAAGCACATTACTTGTACAAAGCAAATGCATAACAAAGTTTAGCAAATTGTACAAAACCTCAATCTGGAAATCAAAATAGCTATTCTGAGACAAATATTGTGGCATTCTTTCCTTTATTATTTTATGCTGTAAGAAGAATAATTTGTATAAATAAAAAGCAACACTGGTTCACTAGTAGTGACAAATATACTCAAGTCATGTCAACAAGAAGGGAAACTAGGCATGCAGTGTATGGGAACTCTGCAGTATCTTTATAGCCTCTCTGTAAGTCTAAAATTACTACTCTGAAATTAAAGTTTCCTTAAAAAAGTAATCTCCGTACTTCTCAAAAATTTTTAATGAAAATTATATTTGGCCTAATTTTGCAAACCGTTTATTCAACAAATATGTATTGAACAACTGAGTGCTCAGCTCTGTATGATTTACAAAGATAACTAAGTGCTGACAGCTGAGACATCAGCCCCCTCTCATTTCCAAGCTGCAGTATTCACAGAGCCTCAAGTGCAGGAAAAGACAAAGACGACCCAGGCATACGGAAAGAGCAACATACAAGCAATACTCAAAAGGCACAAAGCAACTTTTCCTGCACAAGCACCCTGGAAACCTATTTGATCAGGCTACATCTTATGCCAGCCCTGGATTAAATCTGAGACAGTCACCGTGGTTAGGTGCCAGGTTGTGGATAATAAAAAGTCCCTAAAATAGTCTTCATTCGGTAAATACCCAGTCTATGTAATAACCAAACTATGGGCTCCATTCAAAGGGAAAGTGTCACCCTCCACTGGCTCAGGCAGCTGTGAGGCACAAGGGCAGGGTGGGCTTCCTCTCTTCACTTGCCCAAACCTAGATCCTACTGGCTGACTAGCAGTTTCTTCTGACCCCTGGAGGAGAAAAGAGGGCAGGGAAGGTCAAACTGCCCTGCAAGTATCTTTGTTGGTTTACTGTGCAGATGCTCAAAGCTGCTTGCTCTGCTCATAGGTGGACCCTCCTTGACATGCCCAAAAGCACCTGCTCCGGATGGTCACTCACAATTCCACCCAATATCTCTGGTCCACTGTTAGCAGGAAAAGCAGCTACTTCCCACCCATCGTCTTCTGTTCTCTGCCACTGGCATGACTCACACACCACACCCTGTCCCCCAAGAGCCAGGGCCCACATGCCAGGCTCTACTTGCTGCCCCCTCGCTGAAATGGGGCTCACAGCACAACTGCCACTTGCCCTAGACACGTCACCTCCTTCTACTTCCCAAATCTCCTTCCAGCCTCATGTGCAGGCTGAAGGTGTGTGCTGAGCCGGCATCCTCAAACCTGTGTCCTGCACCACCTGCCCCGGGTAAGTGCTACCTGGGAGGAGTAACACTGCCCTTTGGAGTCTGAGAGTGGTGGGCACATAGGACCTCAGCTCAAACTGGATTTCATCTTATCACCTGCTGAAATTATAATACCAGATAGAAAATAAGAGTCATAAAAATGAAAAAAAAATTGCCTGGGCTCAGAATAGAAGGCTCCTTCTAGTTTTTAGCATAGGGGATCAGGATAGGTTTAATTAAGGACCTTCATCATGGAGAACAGGGGCACATACAGACCAGGCAGAGGAGGAGGGGCACGCATGAAAGGATGTGGCCTCCTTTAAGGAATCAAGTGTGTTTTGTTTTGTTTTCAGACATGAAGAATTAAGATATGGAAACCTATTTTAACTAGTAGTATTATTCTTATTCCAGTGATTCATGTGTTAGCAACCCTTATAAATAAATGCCTCAGGTGGCTGCCTGGCTTTTTACCTTTTAGTTTCAACTCTACTGATGAACAGATAAGCTTGGAAATCTGACAGTCCTATGTTCACATCGTGCCAATTACTAGTTATGCAATCTTGAGTAAGTCACATAATCTTCCACATTTGTCAACGTGGTAATGATACTACCACCACCATAGGGTTGTTATTAAAATTAAATGGAAGTGAGTATAAATCCCAGTATGTGAAATATAATAAACTATCTGGATATGCTAACTATACTTGTTATTATTTTATTATTATTTTATCATAATTGTCAATGACTAAAATGTAAGCATTTCTCCTGAGATCATAAAATGTTAGATTTGGCAAGGACTGACTTGAAAATCACCTAGTGTGATTCATTTAAAATTAAGGTAATCTAATTGCCAAAATTTTTTAACTCAGCCAGCAGGTGTTACTAAGCCCCACCGATATAGCATTGAGTATGCCATGGTATTTATTCTTTCTATTGGGAAATAAGAATATAAAGAAAAATTGTAATCGAATGTGTGAAAAGACCTGTTTAAATGAGAATCCAGATGGAGGGATAATTACTTTTCCTGCCAGACAGGAGATGGATCTGGGACAGTTACACAGGGCATGCGGCATTTGAGCTGGGCCCTAAAAGATAAGTAGGAATTTTCCAGCTGAAAAAGGGGGAAAAGAGAATTTCTAGCAAACAAAAGATCCTAAACAATGAAGGGCATACATTTAGCTATTAGGCCAAAGCTTCTTGTTAGTTACTCTGAGAGGTCCCCTTAAGTTTTCCAAAGAGGTCTGTGTTCTTAAAATAGAACACTTGTTATCTACATAAATATTTAATTAACAATATTTCAAGCAGTGTTAAGGTGAAAAATACAGGCAGCTTGAAGACACAGCCTTACATAAGCAATTGCTAATAATTTCTCAGAAGGGCCAGCTCTGCTAAACACTTTATTTCAATGGTTTTCTTTTTCTCAATTTTTGGAATCACAGATATTCTAACAACTCCAAGTGCTATGTTTGAATTACAATTTTTATTCACTCCCTACTCTCTGCTGCAACCTCCGCAAAATAAACACACATATACCCTGTTACTATCATAGCAGCAGTTCTGGTTGTGCTAAAGGTGGATTGAAGACTGGGGCAAAATAGGAGCAGCCACTATCCAAGGGACCAAAAACCACATGTGGGACCTCTTGGGTGCCATAACTCCAAAAGGGTTGGGACCACTGATCTAAACGTTTGTTTTGTGTAACTATTAATTGTTTTACTTTCTCTCTCTTTCACACACACAAACACACACACACACACACAAATGGAGATTATATAACTCAGGGTACTTTTACAGTAATTCAAATGTGACTTTAGCCACTTTGCTGTAACCAACCAATTTTTACAATTGCCTCAGATAACTGCTTAAGAAAGTTTTGCTGGAGGTTATTTTGCTGGTCAAGCTCTGTTGCAATCTAAGAGGTGTCTTTAAGCAATCATTTGGCCTCTCTACCGTTCTGCCTCTTCTCATTCCAGTGCTGGAGGAGGAAAAAGGAGCTGTTGAAGTTTTATGCAACATTTTCACCCTATTCCTTGGATTTCTGTCTAACAATGTATGTATCTAGTAAGGATTGCAGATTTTTACCAACTTTTTAGTTTTTATAGTCTATTACCAGCTTTAAGAAAATATAGAAGGCAAATATGTGAGTTCTGATGAGGCATACCTCGAAGTTGTATAAAATATATTATCAAAAATCATGTTAAAGGGGGATAAATACTCTTCTAACTCTTCTAATAGATATATTTCTGAAATTACAGCAGGAAATGAATGAGAACCACACAGTAGTGTAAAGGTTTATAACAATTTACATTCTTCCACAGAGGGAGGCTGAAGTGGGCATCACACATTAACTGTGGTCTCCCAGTCACCTCCATCTGGTACATATGTGGAACTCACAAATTGTATTAAATCAAAAAATCTTCGCTGAGTGCTTACCATGTGCCTGATTCCACACTACATGCTATGAGAATATAAAAATAGATTATATGATATGGTGTCTCTCATCAGGGGTGATAGGACGTGCACAAATAACCACAGTAGAATGCCAAATATGACAAGCACTGGAAGAACGGTGTGCTACTAGCAAAAAAAGTTTCTGGAAGGATCAGAAGTCCTCGCGCAGGAAGCGGCACTGGAGCTAGATTTTAAAGGAAGAGCAGGATGTCACTGGGCAGAAATGAGAAGAACACTGCGTGAACAAACACAAAGGAAGAGGAGAGGGAGGAACATATCAGAAGAAGGGCAAGTACCACATTTTGGCAGAGACAGAATAGGCCAAAGAAGATTGGAGAGCCTGGATCCAGGAAACTCCTCAGTGGCTATAGTAAGAAGTTAGATGCTGCCATCTTCCAGAAGGGGTGGGGGACTTGTGCTGGGCAGAGCAGTGGCAATAGGAATGGACAAAGGACATCTCTTATCTGAGAGACAATTGGTCCAAGAAAAGTTGCAATGAATGCTCACTAGCTATAGCTAGCCTTCTACCTACATGGCCTCTGCAATTCAGAGAGCCACAAAAATAGTTACAAAAAAAAAGTGAATGTATAGCATGTAAATCATAAATACAAGTCAGCATAATTTTTAGATTTTCAAAGGTTTGAATTTCTTTTTAGAGTGCTACAACAGTCAGTAATCAACAAATCTACGTGTATAAACTTCCTTCTATAGTGTGAAACTACTTGGGCCTCAAGTGGCGATTTGGTGAGGCAAATAAGCACGAAATTTACAACTGCTTCAAGCAACGTGGAATGCAGATATTTCTACTTTGAAGAAGATAATCAGGAGACCTAATTAGATCTCTAGTAAAGCTTTCTGGAACATAATCAGAAATAACAGTGATTTTCAAATAACCCCACACAATTATGCTTCCTGAGATCCTTGTAAATTCTACGCAACAATAATTTAATAAGTTACACCAAATGTAGTGGGGTACGCAGATGCAATGGGGACAGGAAGAGAACAAGCAGTCCAAGAAAATATTAAAGCAGGAAATCATTCAGGGGGAAAGGGTGAACAAAATCTAGAGAAGAAATATACCCTCTACAAGAGCTGAACGAGGCCTTCAGAAAACGGACCTTGAGTGAACAGAAAAGACCAAGCAGTTATAAAAGGGGGAATTATTTAGGCAGATTTACCCCCTGGTTCTCAAGAGCCCAACACTGGAAAGTCAAAAGCAGAGACGAATAAAAACATCACTCTTTGCTTAAAATTTAGATTACTTATCAAAGAAAATTCTATTCACTTATCTATAATGAAGCACTAATAAAATCTACATTTGCTTTCCTAGTTTCTTTTGGAGAAATGATAAATAGGGGAACAGCAGGGTGGCATCCCCACTGCTCAGGTATCTGAGGTACTTCTCACTCACTGTGTGCAGATGATGCCTCAGAACAGTGACCATCGTCCTCACAAAGCCTTTTTGGACCCTTTGGCCACGTACAATCTCTCCATCCTTGGAGGCACCACTGAACTTGGCTTCAGCCTCTCCTATCCCATTTACAATCCCCCTAACTCCCTAACTGCATGGGGACTTTGTGAACTCAGCTGGGGAGTTCACAAAATCTTTGAAGACAGGCATTAGGTCACACTCACCTTTGCAACCCCTGATGGGAGAGACTCCTTAGTAATTTTTTATTTGCTGGGAAACTGTTACTAAGTAATTCTTTGGAGTATATTTATACATGCTTTCCTGTTACAAAATGTTCTGTAACAAGAACTCCAGAATAATTATTTTTGCTAAGAACAATTATACTTCAAAGGAGCACTAATGATACTCTATTGGTTGTGTGTAGAGTCTTGGGAGAAAAACCTGAAATGAAGCGGCATATCATAGACTGGGCAAAGAGAACTTCTCTATTATGTTTATAAGAAAATAATTTTTGGATTACAAATGTACCTCATTTCCTTTAATATTAAAAATAACGAAGTACTTTAAAAGTGACAACTTTCTTAACAAAAGACAATCATATTCCAAATCTATAAAAAATACTGACTTTAAAGTTAATTATTGTGACTTAATCACTGATACTGAGATGAAGCAATCCCTTATTTCATCAAATGTTCCACAAATCCATTTCCTCCCCATACATGGTGTACAAAGATTGTGCACTCAAATGCACATTTCGGGTATTAAATACTGGAGTTTGTTTTTTCAACTAGAGGTGGGATTGCCCAGGCTGGTCTCTAACTCCTGGGATCAAGTGATCCTCCCACCTTGGCCTCCCAAAGTGCCGAGATTACAGGTGTGAGCCACCAACACCTGGTCTTAAATACTGTTTTAAATGTCACCTATTGTGCTATACACAAACCTTATTCCAAGAGGCTAATAATGCTGACCCAGATTGCAAAATACTGAGCAAAGATGAGTTCATCTGCCCCTCAGTCTCATGGAGTTCCTTGTCATTTTGACCAGAAAAATACAGTGTTAAGAAACTGGCTGTGAAAAAAAAAAATCAAAATAATTCAGGCCTGAATTTAGGAAGCCACTGCAGGATGAAATCAGACAGTCATTTCTTTCTTGTAATGGAAATGAGAAACTATAACACACAGCTCAGATACAAGTTCATTTATCTCCATCATAAAATCCTTTGAAAAACACATTACTCTGGTATCAAGCAAAAAGTCGTTAACTATGCAAATGGAAAATTAATTTTGAGTCATAGAAATAACTGGAAATTCATTTTAAAATATTGAGAATTTCTGCTAGAAATCTTTTGTTATCAAAGAAAATCCTTTCGAACTTCAATTCTTTACAATATTTAAATCTATCTTGTTAAAAACTGCTGTATTTTTGTTACTTGTTTATTGAATTCACTTTTATGATAGTGCCAGTAAGACTATGGAAAGGATATTCTCTGGGCATTTATATTAAAGATAATATCAATGAAACCTTTTTCCTAGTAAAACTGAGGAGTGAGGGGGAAATAATATTCCTCAATGTACTTCTAAATGTCACAGAATATTTGGGATTATCTTTAACTTGATAATTTGTCTATACAAGCAAAACAGAGAATTCAATCAAGTATTCAGCTACTCTCGGTTTTTAAAAATGGATTTTTGCCCTAGCTTTCCATGAGTTTGTATGTCAAGCCACCATCGGTTGACCAATTATTTTAATTGAACTTACAGTTTTTATTCAAATTAAACTTCATAAATGAGGCCAATTTTAGAATTGCATTCGCTACTAGTTAGGCTAAATGACACAGCTGACAGAGAAAACATATTTTAATGATGCGATACCAGAGTTAATCTTAAGGGAAAAGTTTCCAAAAGCAACAACACTCTCAAAATTGGAAACTAGAAACATTAGCCCAAAGTTATCACAAATTAGGTCTAAATAGAGCCCTCCATAGAAAGTTATGACAGTTTTCATATATCTGCATTAATTTTTAATTTATATAGTTCAAAATCTCTATGTATGTAAGTGTTTTTTTTTTCTCTGTTTAAAGCCAACTGGTAAGTTTTCAGAAAATATCTTAACAGGTTGCTATATAACTTATGTCCAAAAGAAAGCAGTATGATAATGTGTTTTTCACCCAGTTATTCCAGCACTAAAGTTATAAGAAAGCACTGTTTCTAACAACAGATGGTTTGTTAGGGCCAGCACCTTGCTAAAGAAATTAAAATTTATTTTAAGAAAAAGAGAGAGAGAGTTTTCCCTTAAAACTGGGGGAGAGGGAGTAAAAGGAAAGAGGGAGATTAAATAACAAAGTTAGAAGAGATTCAATAAAAAGCCAAAGCAGGTGAAGACATCAATCAATTCCAGACATTTTAATTCCTCTACTGATTCTAGGTATTAAGGGCAAGAGAAGAATGACTTCTCTATGAATCTAAAATAAAAACTTCCATTGTAGAGTAACTCTGCAGCTACTTTTCTGTTTAGTCTCCATTTTCAGCTCTTCCTAATATAGTTCCTATTAGGATCTTTGCTCTGCTTTTATATTACAGGTTTTATTCTCTCTTAATAAAAAGTAATCTTTAAAAATTACAGATGGGATGGGTGGACAAAGGGGAGTTGTTTAATGGGTACAGAGTTTCAGTTTTGCAAGAAAAGAAGTTCTGGAGACTGCACAACAATGGAAACATACTTCACACTACTAAACTGTACACTTTAAAATAGTTAAGATGGTAAATGTTATATTACGTGTATTTTTGACAGTTTGAAAAAATTATGAGTCGCACGCTCATGCCTATCATCCCAGCACTTGGGGAGGTCAAGGCACAAGGAGTGCAAGACCAGTGTGGGCAACACAGTGAGACCTTATCTCTACAAAACAATTTAAAAATTCAAAAAACTAGCCAGGCATGATGGTGTATGCTGGTAGTCCCAGTTACTCAGGAGGCTGAGGCAGGAAGATCCCTTGAGCCCAGGTGTTTGAGGTTGCAGTGAGCTATGATCATGCCACTGCATTCCTGCCTAGGTAACAGAGTAAAACCCTGTCTTAAAAAAAAAAAAAAAGAAAGAAAGAAAAGAAAAAAAGAAAAAATTGTGAATGCAGAATTGCTCTAAGAAAGCAATCATTCAATGAATTCAAAATCTTTTATTAATATTGTATTTTTTGATGTTTTTTAAATCATTTTTGATAATATTGTTTAAATGTTTCCACTATCCAAAGTGATCTACAGATTCAATGCAATTCCCATCAAAATTCCAATGACATTTTTCACAGAAGTAAAAAAAAAATCTTAAGATTCACGTGGAACCACAAAAGACCCAGAACGACCAAAGCAATCTTGAGCAAAATGAACAAAGCTGAAGGCATCACACTACCTGATTTCAAAATCTCCTACAAAGCTATAGTAATCAAAATAGCATGGTACTAGCATAAAAGCATACACATAGGCCAGTGGAATGGAAGACAGAACCCAGAAATAAGTTCCCACACTTATGGTCAGTTAATTTTCAACAAAGGTGTCAAGAACACATAATGGGAATGGATAGCCTCTTCAGTAAATGGTGCCGAGAAAACTGGATATCCACATGCAGAAGAATAAAGTTAGACCCTTATCTCGCACCATATACAGAAATCAACTCAAACCGAATTAAAGACTTAGACATAAAATCTGAAATTGTAAAACTACCAGAAGCTCCATGACATTGATCCAAGCAGTGATTTTTTTCAGTATGACCCCAAAGGCACAGGCAACAAAAGCAAAAATAGACAAATGGGATGTAATCAAATTAAAAAGCTTCTGCACAGCAAACAAAATTACCCGAGTGAAGAGACAAACTATGAAAAAGGAGAAAATATATGTATGCAAACCATATATCTGATAAGGGGTTAATATCCCAAATATATAAGGAACAATTCAATAGTTTAAAAAAAAACAATTTAAAAATGGGCAATGGACCTGAACAAACATTTCTCAAGAGAAGACATACAAATGGTCAATAGTTGTAAGAAAAAAATGTTCAACATCACTAATCATCAGGAAAATTCAAATTAAAACCACAACGCCTCACACCTGTTGGAATGGTTATTATAAAAAAAGATGACAAGTTAAGTGTTGGTGAGGATGTGGTGAAAAGGGAACCACACTATTGGCCAGGATGTAAATTAGTATGGTCATAATGGAAAACAGTATAGAGGTTCCTCAAAATAGAACTACCATATGATCAAGCAATCCCACTACTGGGTATATATCTAAAGGATATGACATCAGTATGTTGAAAAGGTATCTATACTATCATGTCCATTGCATCATTATTCACAATAGCCAAGATATGAAATCAATGTAAGTGTCCACCAACAGATGAATGAATATAAAAACTGTGGTATACATACACAATGGAATGCTATTCAGCCTGGGAAGCAAATCCTATTATTTTCAACAGCATGGATGAACTTGGAGAACGTGATGTTAAATGAAATAAGCCAGGCACAGAAAGACAAATACCACATGATCTCACTTATCTGTGAAATCTAAAAAAAATTAACTCATAGAAACAGAGTAAAATGGTGGTTACCAGAGGCTGGAGTGTAGAGGCACTGATAAGATGTTAGTCACAGAACACAAAATTTCAGTTAGATAGGAGGAACATGTTCAAGACACCTACTGTACATCATGGTGACCATAGTTAATAATAACAATATATTATATACTCGAAGTCTTTGAGAGAGTAGATTTTAAAGGTTCTCACCACACAAAAAAGTTAAGAATGTGAGGTAATGCATATCTTAAATGGCTTGATTTAACCATTCTACAATGTATATGGGTATCAAAACATCATGTTTTATACCATAAATGTATAAAATTTTTACTTATCAATTGAAATAAAATTTTTAATGGGAGAAAAACTTGAATAGACATTTCTCCAAAGAAGACATAAAAATGGCCGACAGGGATATGAAAAGATGCTTGACTTCACTAATCATTACAGAAACGCAAAGCAAAATACAATGAGATACCACCTCACTCCTCTTAGGAAGCCTATTACCAAAAAGAGAAGAGACCACAAGTGTTGGGGAGGATGTGTAGAAAAGGGAAAAAATCCTTTTTGATAATGTTTAAGTCACAGATCAAGTCCCCTTATCAAAATAACCATAAGTGAAATTACTAAGTGGCTTCACAGAAAACATGTATCCGGCTAATAAATGGGAGGAGGTCAACCCTATTTGTTATTGGCTATATCAAAGACTGTGATTCTAGACACATCAGGATAAACACATATAAATCAAATAATACCTGTTCTTACTCACCTTGCATTGAATTTATTCCCTAGCAACACTGGTATGAGACTCAGGAACTATTCAGCCACTGGCTCAATTTCTTACCTGCAGGAGCAAATACCTACACAGGTTTGGAAGCAATCTTGTGCAATCCCTTGTCTCTTAATAACCACAACAGACTATTCATGTCCAAAACTAAATGAAAGAAAAAGCATCCCCAAAACAAAAAGCTTTAAACAGAAGTAGAAAGAATGAATATTGGCCAGGCACAGTGGCTCACACCTGTAATCCCAGAACTTTGGGAGGCTGAGGCAGGTAGATTGCTCAAGCCCAGGAGTTTGAGATCAGCCCAGGCAACATGGGGAGACCCTGTCTGGAAAAAATACAAAAAAAAAAAAAAATAGATGGGCATGGTGGTGCATGCCTGTAGTCCCAGCTACTCGGGAGGCTGAGGTGGGATGACTGCTTGAGCCTGAGAGTTCAAGGCTGCAGTCAGCTATGATTGTGCCATCATACTCCAGCCTGGGCGACAAGAGACTGTCTCAGAAGAAAAAGAAAACAAAAAAGGAATGAATACCTTCAAAATATAAACATTTTTTTTTTTTTTGAGACGGAGTCTCACTCTGTCTCCCAGGCTGGAGTGCAGTGGCGCGATCTCGCTCACTGCAAGCTCCGCCTCCCAGGTTCACACCATTCTCCTGCCTCAGCCTCCCGAGTAGCTGGAGCTACAGGCGCCCCTCACCGCGCCTGACTAATTTTTTGTATTTTTAGTAGAGACGGGGTTTCACCGTGGTCTCGATCTCCTGACCTCGTGATCCACCCGCCTCGGCCCAAAATATAAACTTTTAAGTATCTGCTGTATATATCAACAATATTATTCAGATGGAACTTTCAAGATGGGTGCAGTGGCTTATGCCTGTAATCTCAGCCTGTGGGAGGTCAAAGCGGGAGGATCACTTGAGTCCAGCCTAGACTCAAGTTCAAGACCAGCCTGGCCAACACAGAAAGACCCTGTCTCTATTTTTGAATTAAATATTAAAATAGAAAAAGAAAAAAGAAGATGGAACCCATCAGAGCAGCTAGTGAACCTCACACCTCTGCTGCTCCAGCTTGAAGCTTGAAGCTGGCTCCTTCTGTATTTAGACCTCCCTCGGCACTTGCCCCAATACTCACGCTCGAATTATTCATAATCATTGATCTCTTTCACTAGACTTGCAAGATCCTGTAAGAGCTAGGATCCCTGGGTCACTGATCTTTGCATCCTTCACACATTTATAACTGTGCTTTATTCACTGTTTAAGTGAAAACTCTTGAAAGCCCACACTTCCATATTCTTGTTTTATGTTGCTTATAAGAACAAAGAGAAAATGCTAAATTACTTTTTCATGAATTCATTTTGTGAACTATACATGATGGATTTCTGATATACTTTGGGAAATACTCCTCTGACAATTTATCAACAGGAGGAAGGGCCAAAGAAAGGAATAGACTATAATGGGAAGAAAAATTAAAATAACATCAGGAAGCAAGCAAGCATGTGTACTTAAAATAACATTAGGAAGCAAACATTGAATATCTGGCATTCTCTACAGGTATTAAAATCAACAGGGGACACAAAATTCAGCCTTCATTAAGGGGGTGCTTCAGTACTGTTGGGTTTGTTTATTATTTTGGGGAGGACTTGGGGGGAGTAGAGGGAAGGGATGAAACAAGCAAAGCTCAAACATGACAGTAAAATGCTTCGTGTCATGAAACAGATCTCAAACACATTTCTGCTTTTGTAACATTCTATGCTAAGGTCTGAGGTGAACTACCAAATAAGATTTTAAAGGAAAAAAACCTGAAAATTTACCTGGGCAATGTTCATGTTTTTTACATATCCTTCCAGCATGTTTCACCCTCTACCCTTAAACTTTTGTTAGTCATATTTGGATTAAATACAGTAATGGAAAACCAGTATAACGTTTGCTGGTGTGAATCTATACTAGATTTTTCCAGAAAAATGAACAAGTCAGGAATTAATGTATAATAATTTCCTTTAGCTCTTATGAATAAAATCAAGACTCTTTTAATCTAAATCACTCTATGTACAGAATCAGGTGACTGAACACAACAGAAATAAAAATATAACAACTGAGGAGCAATTTTCTTCCAAAATGGTTTTTGGCAACCCAGTTCCCCGGATTAGTTCCTCTTGATCATTTTGAAATGGAATCACTCTTCATCTGAAGCAACATTGCAAAAGTCTTTGCCTTCTTGGACAGAGGCTTGCCGCAAACATAAACAGGGCAGATTGAGGGTGAAGTAAATAGGAGAATGCCACCCTCGCTGCAACCCCTTTCATCACACATTTCATAGGCTCCCATATTTCCAGCCATGACAGCTTTGGTCTTTGATGGAACACAGCCAACCTTCAGAGCAGTAATGATGACAGTAGGCCCCCTCCCTATACACTCCTGCATCCTAAGAGGTAAGAGTGAATTAACTGTGGAAACTGCCTTTGCCGAATCACCTGACCACCACAAATTTCTCAAACCACATACCCAGGTTATCATTACACAGAGTCGCAAGTGGTGGCAATCCTAGTTTTCTGTGAGTAACTTTTTTGGTGTTTTCTTTTTAAGTATTAAAACCACCAAATGTATGTTTTCAAATCGTAAAATCACGTGTTGGAGAAAAGAATGAAGCATATCTTTCTGGTAACAAAGGAAAGAAAGTTAATTGTCTTACCCTAATCTAAAAAATAAGTCAATATGGAAATCAACAACCTATGGAAGGCAAAGTAAAATTCCCCCTCTTCATAATCTCCATCACTGAAAGTAAATATTTTCATCTCATCACAAAGAAAAGTCCATCTAGTTTCAGAGTTCAATGAATAAGCCCGAAGTCTTAATATGGAACAGAACTTCAGGAATGAGTATGTACAGCAGAGTGATTTGAGGTTGACCCAGAGCTTTCTGGATCTCCTGGTCTGATTTGCAACATTTAAGCCTTCAGGGCTTGACAAATGCAGTGCCATTTGCTGAGATTTTCATGCCCAGGCATTTATATTGTTGTCATAAAAAAAAGTTGATAAAATTTTTCTTCCAAATCAATTTGGCAAGATAAAATAAAAGGTTTTAATTAAAATGATCCCAAAAATGCTTTTAAAATTTATTTAGATCGAACCACTACTCTTTTAAAAAAGTATTGGGGGAGAAAAGAAAAAACAAAACACCTGAGAGAAATTGGAAAAAATTTAGGAAGAAAAAAGAGGAGAAAACTGGAGGGGAGAAAAATTGGACCAAAAAAGAAAAAATCTTTAAGGCACTGAAATGCAAAGAAAAACTTAGAAAAACCTTAGTCTGAGAACCCATAGGACTTTCAGAGCATAGAACCATCTGCAGAACTTGAACAGAATAAATAGATTTTTAGCTGAATTTTGTAATCTACATAATAATGTATTCCAAAAAGCACCCATCTGGAATAGGAGAAGAGCTAGAGTTAGTCCACATAGAATGAGCAAGACTAGATAAAGGTATTTCACTCTAAATCTCCAGAGAAGGGTTAAACAGAACAAGCTCTACCATTGCACACAGACAATGAACACAGAAAAAGAAAATTATGACAAATACACATGACAGTTGAGAATATGAGTTTACATGAAATATTCTCACAATATCTGTAGCTACATCTCACTGAAGATATACTCTGTAACTGGAAATTTATAAAATTTACTCTATAATCTTGATAGATGACAAACATTACAGCCTTTAGTTGGAAGACATTCCTTTCTCACTGTGAAATATACATCGCTTTAAAGGCTGACAGCTTTTACTCTGAAAAATGAGTCATTTAGCATTGTTTCATTTCTTTAAAAATTAAACAAATGGTATTTTTGTGAATTCTAAATAGGCCATTTTCAAAACAGTCCACACTGTCCCCTCGTGCCCCACCCAAGCACGTACTTCAAAATCTCTTTTGTTTCTTAATATCTGTATCTTCTTTCCAAATATGACCAAAGGGTCACACTACCGGAATTTATAAAGCAGAATGAGAAACTGACAGAAATAGGGAAGAGGACATCTCAAGGGCTTTTCTTGTTAAGCGTCGTTGCTATACATCAGCTTAGTACTCCAGGCTCATCGGGGGACAGATGGAGAAATCACAACTTGCCAAATGTTTATTATATGTGCAGATGGCTGTTTCTGTTTTGAATCTTCCATTCTTTTATTTCCCCATCGATTTGTGTAGATATGAACAGTTGCTCCCTTAAGGCTTTATCCTGTGTAATTAGGGTTCCTCCGGTACAGCACTTCACTCTCTCTCCATCCACCCCTTCCTTTTCATATGGTCAGCGCAGCTCCATCCCTGAGTGTGTCTGCTCACATTTACCTTCCCATGCCACTCCACCCACAATCTTGCCAGTGTAACTCAGAATGTCCTTGCTGATAACCATTCAGTGAAAGACAAGGTGAACCAAAGCTTTGTGGTTAAAATAAGCTGGACTCAAACTCAACTCCTGAGGGGTGCCCAGCAAATGAACACTCCTGGCAAGCTTAAGCTAAGCTATTTCTGGAGGTGTCCCAGGGAGAATAAAAGGGAAATGAGGCATCAATGGGCTTTACAACAGCTGTACTAAATTCCTTTAAACAATCAATTATAGAAGATTATCTAGAAATTATAACTGGTGTAATTAGCTAGTTGATATAAAGAAGCTAGTAATTATACATGCAAATTATCATTATGAACAACCTGAGTTTTGGCTTTGTTTCCATGCAATTTTCATTCTGAAGAACTTTGAGAAAACAGTTTCCATAACCTGTCAAGTATATGGGTGCTAGGGTTATAGAAAACTCTTTTGTACTATTTTCTTTAACTTCCTAAATGATCTTAATCCCCTGTTCTAATCCCAATTATGTCGCTAAAGCTGTCAGGTGACCTTCAGTATGATACCTAACTGTCACACAAAAGCTTATTTTCACATCTATAAAATTCAGATAAGAACATCTTCCTTGGATAAACAACTTAATTTCTACTTGGTGCCTGGGAACTTCAGCATGAGTAACTCCATTTTGGTTTGGTCTGTTGGGACTAAGGATCCCAACCTTTGGTCTGTTGGTCTAAGGATCAGAGTTAGGTAACAACTGTAATGATGAAAAGTAATAAAAAGAATTTCATATTGCATTCTTCTTACCAAAGATCTTTACTAAGTAACTATTTGCATGGAATTCAAAAGGCAAATCATTGCCTTTTCACTGAATTAACATTTACTGAGTATCTATAATGTTTCAGGATCTGTACTGGTACTAAAGATTCAGATAATTTATATTCTAGAAATAGGATATGAAAGAAGACATGGACTTGTGCACATAAAATTTTAAAACAGCTTGTTACCTATTAAGAAATATTGAGAGGAACCAGGAAAGGAAGGAGTAGTCTCACTCCAGTCTAAGGGTTAAGAATGGACATTTTAGAAGAATTAGATTTGCTTGAACTGAGTCTACAGGAATCAGTAAAACTTAGTCAACTGGAGTGAGAAAGTGGATAAAGATTCCAGGCCAAGTCCATTCTTTGGTGAAAAGTAACAGACACCCAATTCAAACTAGCTTAAGCAAATAAAGAGCACTCATTTTTCTTGTGTAACCAGAAGTAGGCAGTGTGGAGTTGGCTTTACAGACAAATCAAACTAGAGCCTTCCAGCTCCATGACTGGAGAGAATGGTATCTAGTGTGAAATATTCAGGGAAAAGCTCCACTTGATCTGGCCCATCCCTGGGGCAAGCATCTCAGCCAAGGGATAAATGTATTAACTGCCCAGATGTTCTATGGCCCCAGGAACCTCGTGAGACTATGACTAAAAGGTCCATTGAAACTCCATGTTCTGAGGCAGCAGTTTTCTGTAGCTCACTGTGGTTCTAAGCAGACAAAACAACGATGTCCATGACACTGCAGGAATGTCAACAACCACACAAATAAATAAAACATCATGGGTCGGGTGGAGAGAAGCACTGGGGACTAGGAAGAGGGCAGAACCAGAATTCTGCCAGCAATATAAAAAGGCAATGTTTGACCTGGAGGTGTGGGAATTTATAACTACTGTTAGTTAAAAATGAAATGGCACACAGAAAGCAATTTAGAATGTATAGTTAATACTTAAACGGAATAACTATTTACAAGTAAAGACATAGAAGAAAGGAACTAATATTTTCAAGTGTCTGATGCACTTTCTATAGCCTCACAACCATACATAAGATAGGTATTATCATCTTCATCTTATAAATGAGTCAGCTGAGATCGAAGATTTCTCAGGCTGTAAAAGACATGCAGCCAGCAAGAAGTGGCATTGGCATTAAAAATAATGCCTGTCTGGAGAATGTCGTGAACCCGGAAGGCAGAGCTTGCAGTAAGCCAAGATCATGCCACTACACTCTAGCCTGGGCGACAGACCGAGACTGACTCAAAAAAAAAAAAAAAATCATGCCTGTCTGTCACAATGCCTATGCTCTTTGCATGGTGCCTCTAATAAGGATTAGAGCAAATAACTGAAAGGAAAAAAAAATACACAATACAAAAGAGCCTACCCTACTTCACTTACACTTATTGCCTCAACTCTCACTCACCATTCCATGCCATTCAATAAATATTGCATATTTACCATGCATGAGTCATTTTCTGTCATGCCATGGTGACCCACGTACTGCCACTCATTCATCAGATCCATCTCAGGTGCCAGTGGCATTCCTCAGCCTTATTCTCTCACACATGGTGGAAAACAGAGGAAGCTGCCCTGTCCATTTATCCAAAACATTCTTCAAACCATACTGCCTTACTATGTAGCACTCACTAAGTATGTATGGAAGTAGAGTGTTTTTTTAAGGGCTCATAGATTCTTTGTACAATCTGTTCCGATTCCTGCCCTAATATATCTACCCAAAGTATCAAGACAAGAGAGCATAAGCCATAAAATAAAAACAATCTACTGTCCCTTGTTAAGAAATGAAAATACAAGATGCTTTTCCCTATTATAGACAGATAGGGAAGCATATGTGTAAAAGACAAAGGCAATGAATGCTCTTTAACCCATTATATAATTACCTGCAAGAGAGGCAGCCCTTTCCTAACGTACTTGATTCATCTATTCTAATACACACAATACTCATTTTACACCATGTTATATTGATTCATACTATAAATAAAAGAGAACGGCAAATTAAAAAGCTTCCCAAAGAAACTATCAACAGTAAACAGACAACCTATGAATGCGAAAAAATATTTGCAAACTATGCATCTGACAAAAGTCTAACATCCAGTGTCTATAAGAAACTTAAACAAATTTACAAGGGAAAAACAACCCCTTTAAAAAGTGGGCAAAGGACATGAACAGACACTTCTCAAAAGACATACATGTGGCCAACAAGCATATGAAAAAAAGCTCAATATCACTGATCATTAGAGAAACGCAAATCAAAACCACAGTGAGATACCATCTCTCATCAGTCAGAATGGCTATTACTAAAAGTCAAAAAATAACAGATGCTGGTGAGGTTGCAGAGAAAAGGAAATACTTATTCACTGTTGGTGGGAGAGTAAACTGGCTTAACCATCGTGGAAAGCAGTACAGCAATTCCTCAAAGAGCTAAAAGTAGAACTACCATTCAACTCAGCAATCCCACTACTGGGTATATATCCAGAGGAATATAAGTCATTCTGCCACAAAGACACATGCAGGCAATGTCCATGGCACACTATTCACAATAGCAAAGACATGGAATCAACTTAAATGCCCATCAATGACAGACTGGATTTTAAAAGTGCGGAACATATATACCATAGAATACTATGCAGCCATAAAAAAGAACAAGATCATGTATTTGCCAGAACATGGGTGGTGCTGGAGGCTATTATCTTTAGCAAACTAACACAGGAACAGAAAACCAAATACCACATGTTCTCACTTATAAGTAAGAGCTAAATGATAAGAACTTAGGAACACAAAGAAGGAAACTACTTGAGGGTGGAGGGCGGGAGGAGGGAGAGGGGCAGAAAAGATAACTATTGTATTCTGGGCCTAATACCTGGGTGATGAAATAATATGTACAACAAACCCCCGTGACATGTGTTTACCTATGTAACAAACCTTCACATGTACCCCCAAACCGAAAATAAAAGTTAACGAAATAAATAAAAAGCTTCAGATAACTAAAAATGTTTTTATATAAGATGAAATATTAATAACACAGACTCAACCTATAAAAAGAATATAAGTTGCATATTTCAAAATCTGTAAAACAAAAAAGTTCTGAGAGTTTCACAGATCTAAAAACTGTTGCTTTCATACTAAGAAGAGGAAAGTTTAAAAGTTCAATTAAAACATACACAATTATAGGCCTGGTACGGTGGCTCATGACTGTAATCCCAGCACTTTGGGAGGCCAAGGCAGGCAAGTCACCTGAGGTTAGGCATTCGAGATTGGCCTGGCCAACATGGCAAAACCCTGTCTCTGCTAAAAATACAAAAATTAGCTGGGCGTTGTGGCAGGCACCTGTAAAAGACAAAGGCAATGAATGCTCTTTAACCCATTATATAATTACCTGCAAGAGAGGCAGCCCTTTCCTAACGTACTTGATTCATCTATTCTAATACACACAATACTCATTTTACACCATGTTATATTGATTCATACTATAAATAAAAGAGAATGGCAAATTAAAAAGCTTCCCAAAGAAACTATCAACAGTAAACAGACAACCTACAGAATGCGAAAAAATATCCCAGGAATCGCTTGAACAGGGAGCCAAGATCACGCCACTGCACTCCAGCCTGGGAGACAGAGGGAGATTCTGTCTCAAAAAAAAAAAAATACATAATTACGACTAAAAAAAAAAAACTTTGATATAAGTGACATAATTAAAACATCTTTGTAAGAGAAATATATGATTCAGTCATGATAACTTGAAAGGAAAACTTCAGTAATAACTGTAACAAGGTTTTTAATTTAATCTTTACAAACTTTAAATATTAGATATTGAAATGCTAAGACAAGCAACAATCTTTAACACAAGGACATCACGTTGTTTCTAGAGGTAGTAAATCTGTATGCATAAACATACATATATTTCATATATCTGTCCACTGACAGATCCTAGAAGCTATGACACCCAGTGGCAACGAATATACCAAGTGTCCTGGTGTGGGTTTCTAAATACCATTCTCCACTAAAAGAATCTGGGAGTTTCTTGAAGAAATGGCTGACTGACAAGCTAGGTAAGTATAAAATAAGTCTGAAATCCATTTTTGTGCCAAAAGTGCTCAAAGAATAACTAGGGTATGGGAAGAAGATACAGAAGTCAGTGTAAAAGAGTTGCCACTGGCAAACTCTGGGAAATAATGACAGTAACTGGTTATAGCCCACTACCCAAAATAATAATCCATGAATCCACACTGATATAAACAAACAGACAAGAAAAGAAAGTTCTATTTTATATACAATGGTGATATCATTTGGCTGTGTCCCCACCCAAATCTCATGTTGAATTGTAGCTCCCATAATCCCCACGTGTCATGGGAGGTAATTGAATCATGGCAGCAGGTTTTCCCATGCTGTTCTCATGATAGGGAATAAGTCTCACAAGATATGATGGTTTTATAAAGGGCACTTCCCCTGCACATGCTCTCCTGCCTGCCACCATGTAAAATGTGCCTTTGCTCCTCCCTTCCCTTCTGCCATGATTATGAGGCCTCCCCAGCCATGTGGAACCGTGAGTCCATTCAAACTTTTTTTCTTTATAAATTACCCAGTCTCGGGTATTTCTTCATAGCAGTATGAAAATGGACTAACACAAATGCCAACTAGTTCATGAAGAAGGAATGGTGGAATCAAAAACTACCATTTCAGGCTGGGTACAGTGGCTCACTCCCAAATCCCAGCACTTTGGGAGGCCAAGGCAGCCAGATCATTTAAGCTCAGGGGTTCAAGACTAACCTGGACAACATGGTGAAACCCCATCTCTACAAAAAATACAAAAATTAACCAGGTGTGGTGGTGCATGCCTATAGTCCCAGCTACTCAGGAGGCTGAGGTGGGAGGATCACCTGAGCTCAAGGAGGCTGAGGCTGCAAAGAGCCATGATTGCACCACTGCACTCCAGCCTGGGTGACAGAGTGAGACCCTGTCTCCAAAAAAAAAAAACAAAAAACATTTTACAACCATCATAGTAATAATGGATTTGGGCAAGAATCATCAATGGACACTAATGGGTAAAATGTTTGATTAAAAAGCATCTCCCCCACAGAATCCTTATTATTAATTGACAAGTAAAAAAATTTTATTAACCTTACATTAGAGAAACTTGGAAGACACCATCTTAATCAAGTGATAAAAGTTAATATCACCAGTAATGGGACATATTGACATCTCATGCCTCCTGGTAAAATGCACTGATAGGAACACACTTCTGTGGTATTCCTCCCAAAACACATAATTTATATCTAACAATAAGAAAACATTAGCCAAACCCAAACTGAGAAATATCCTAAAAATCCCTGTTCAAAAATAACTGGTGCTCTTTGAAAATGTCAAGGCAATGAGAGAGTAGAAAAGACTAGGAAAACTCCAGATTAAGAGAGACTTAAACATAAACAAATGGATTCGATACAGATCCTAGGCCTAAAGGGGTATTACTGAGATCACTGGTGAAATCTGAATGGGGTCTGTGGATTAAATGGTAACAACAGATTGGCATTTATTTCCCAATTTTTATGGTAGCACGGTGGTTATCTAATGGTGTCCTTGATTTCAGGAAAAATCCAACGAAGCATTAAGGGGGCAGGACAGCATCATGTCTGCAACTTATTTTTAAGTTGTTAAAAAAAATTATAGTAACAAGGAGAACTATATTGTGAGAGAATTATAAGGCAAATTTTGCAAAAATGTTAATGAATGTAACATGTGAGTCAAGGGAGTAAGAGTTTTTGTATTATTCTTTCAATGTTTCTATAAGTCTGAACTTACTCTAAAACAAAAAGGTTTCTTAAATATACTTTAGTTGTCCACAGTATCAGCAGTGCAGTAGCAAAATTATTCCCTTAAATTCCTTTAAGTGCTATTCTCATTATAAACTTTTTTTTTTTTTAGAGAATGGAGCTATTTCCAGCTCCTCTACAATACACCGATATACAGTTTTTCAGATTTGGGACACTAAGAAGTAGCTGATGTCTTTAAAAGTTTGGCAGCTCTCCAGTGGATAACCGACTCTCAGAGAACAGCTAACTCACCAGTAGTAGCTAATTCCTCTATAAAACAGAGCAAGCTGTTAAGTGCCCTGACCTTCCCAGTGAGAAGTCACTGCTGTTCACTGTGAACTATTTGAAGATGCATTAACTCTTTCTGGTGGCTGGCAGAGGTCTGTCAAAAGAGTACAGAGTTTTGCCTGATATTACTAAAAATCTGTTTTTTAAAATCCTTTAGATCTGCAATTCTTACAATTGAGGAAAACATTCTTGGCCAAGAAAATACTCAAAAAGCTACACAAACATGGCAAAAATAAAATCTTCAGGTTCTCCCATCACACCACAATTTTCCAATGTCATAAACGTCTTTTCCTCATTCTGCTATATCCAATAATTGATATGGTGAACTGCTCTTTCAAGAGACAACTTCCACCTGTTGAATTCTCCTAGTCAAGCTTCCCTCTTGAAGCATATCACTCTTGTTCATATACCGTTAATTACATTTCCTAGTAACTCCTAGAAACTTATAACTGATAAAACAATAAAGCAAATAAGCATCTCTATGCTAAAAACAATTCCAAAGGTTTCACTTGAGCAATGCTTATGTTCAATTTTCTCTAGAAACATTTCATTAACTATGCCTTTCAATATTAGCTGCTCCTGAAATACCCACCTTAATAGCCCAGTCACTTGTAAATGCCCAGTCACTTGTAAATGCCTAAGGATAGAAAAAACAGAAGAGCTCTATCCTAGGTGTATAAAAAGGGGCAAATCCAATCAATGTCCTCTAAAGCACTTGGAAGTCAGTTTTAGAAAGTCTAGCCAGCAAACCTGTCGCTATGTTCTATAACAATGATAGATCTAAAAGGAAGAGACCATGCAAGGCCATAACACACTGAGAATTCAAGTTATAAACAGTAAAACATTATGGAAAACTTTTATAATATTAAGACTTTTCATGCAGAAACATGGTGTGTCTCTTCACTTATTTTTTAAAGCAGATTAATGTCGACCTCAACGTCTATAGATAAACAGGCTACAAGTCTCTTAGATTCGTATATTAGAAAATCTAGAAATAGTTTCCAACAGATACGTATCTATGTAGTCAAAAGGGCATATGATATGAGATAAAAGTATGTCTTGTTTAAGGTAATTTAAGTGGAAAGCTACATTATTTTAGTGCCAAATATTTTGATATGATAGGAGATAAAAGTATTTCCTGTTTAAGGCAATTTAAGTGGAAAGCTACATTATTTTAGTGCCAAATATTTTGTACAGTATTATGTGGACCATATATTTTGAGAGCAAAGAGCTTAGCTTCTCCAGCTGAAGATAAGCTCAAGCAACATCACTATTAATGCTTCCCTTTAGAAGTTCTATAAATGTGTTTGCCATAGACAAAATCTCCCGAAAAACTGTCTTGTTCCTTATCCAAGAGGTAATTCCAGTTTATTGATGGCAACTTTAAGGAAAATTTGCCACATCTAAATTTCTTTATGCTTCATAACTTATAAAGCATAAAGAAATGCCTCATAACTTCATGTATAAAGTTTTTTATTCTATTTATGTTGATTTTGATTCATTTAAGGCCAAGTGTTGTGATAAAATTCATAATTTTTTACTTTTTCACAGTTCAAATGTAATACTTTATCATCTGCCTGAAGTAAGCCTAATATGCTTGCTCTTTTAAACTTGTGTTCTTTCTCTAATGCAAATCGTATGTTCACTCGGAGATACTGTATTAATTACACAAAATATTAAGACTGCTATCCAGAGTATTTAACAGAAATTGTAAACCACTATGTTCAAATCTTCATATAAATAGCTAAATAACTCACTTATTCTTGCTTAGAATATATTCCTCAATCTATGCTTCTTTATTTCAATGACTAGTTTTGCTGTACCCAATGTTTAGAAAAACTGGCAAGGTTTTTGTTGTTGTCATTGTTGTTTTGAGATGGAGTCTCACTCTGTCACCCAGGCTGGAGTGCAGTGGCGCAGTCTGGACAGTGAAACCCCGTCTCTACTACAAAAATACAAAAATTAGCCAGGCATGGTGGCACGTGCCTATAATCCCAGCTACTCGGGAGGCTGAGGCAGGAGAATCACTTGAACCCGGGAGGCAGAGGTTGCAGTGAGACTCCATCTCAAAAAAAGAAAAAGAAAAGAAAAGAAAATTAACTGGTATATATGCAATATTCCAAACAACTTAAAATCTAATATAATAAATGTTTCATTAACATCTGACTATAAACAGTACCTTTTATGAAAAGATTCTTGTACACTTAATGAGCATAATAATTTTGCAGGACTCTGAGGATAGAACACAATCATTGGACAAGCATTTTTTGATATACTATGTGTCAGGCACTGGTAATTAAAAAGACGAATAATATAAATATATCAAGGCAGAAATCCCACCTTTACGTAATTCCAAAGAGACACAAAGTCAACAAACAGAATAATGCGATAAGTGTTATAACTGGAAAAGAAAAAAAAAGAAGAAGGGTGTTTCAACTAGGGGTGGATTGTATAAAATGAAATGGCTAACTCTTCAAAGGGGGAGCAGAACCCTGGAGAAGTCTGAGGTTAAGCTGGGCCAGATTATATCATGAAGTGGGCAGTAAGCCAGGCAAAAAACTGGACTTTATCCTTCAAGCAAAGAGAAAACAGAGGAGGGTTTTAAGCAGTGAAGTAATTGACACAGTTAAATTTTAGAAGGAAAAAAAAACACTGAGCTGTGAAGGACATCAAGACTAGACTGAACATGAAGGAATACATATTGAAGAGGGAACCAATTGTTAAGGGCCCTATGTTTATATCACCATATTTATTTTTACTATTTTTTAAAAAAAAAATTATAGAGATAGGGTGTCACTGCATGCCCAGGCTGGCATGCAGTGGTGTGATAATGGCTCACTGTAACCTTGAGCTCCTAGGCTCAAGGGATCCCCCCAGCTTAGCCCCCTGAGTAGACAGGGCTACAGGCCCGTACCAGCACACCCAGCTACTTTGGGTTTTATTTGTTTCTTTTTTTTTTTTTGTAGAGACAGGGTCTCATTATGTTGTCCAGGCTGGTTTCAAACTCCTGGCCTCAAGTGATTCTCCTGCCTCAGCCTCCCAAACTGCTGGGATTACAAATGTGAGCCACTGCACCAGACCATCACCATATTTTAATATTAATTTATAAAAATTCAGTGAACATTTACCTTCTTTCAGGCTGGTGCTGTGCTAAATGCTATGTGATTTTTTTAAAAAAGAGGACAGGCCAGGCACGGTGCTCACGCCTGTAATTCCAACACTTTGGGAGGCCAAGGCAGGTGGATCATGAGGTCAGGAGTTTGAGACCAGCCTGGCCAACATAGTGAAATACCGTCTTTACTAAAAACACAAAAAATTAGCCAGGCATGGTGGCGGGAACCTGTAATCCCAGCCACTTGGGAGGCTGAAGCAGGAGAATCACTTGAACCTGGGAGGCAGAGGTTGCAGTGCGCCAAGATCGCACCACTGCACTCCAGCTCGGGCAACAGTGTGAGACTCTGTCTCAAAAAACAAGGAGGAGGGGGTACAAGGCATGATTAGTGCCTTTGAAATATATGAAACTATAGAATTCTATTAAAAAAACATGTAAAATGTTTACAATGTAAGCAGCTTTCTACTTTAAGGGACTCATCTGGAAACCATATCTTCAAGAATAGGAACCAAAAAAAAGAAACCTAATTATTATGTGTATACTTTTTGAATATCTAATCAATCTCGAAAAATTAAAAAGGAAATTGTATTCTTACCAAAAAAATTCAAATAGTTTCCCCCCTTGAGTAACTTAAAAGCACTATATTTTTAATATCTCTAAAAAGATTACTTTTGAAATCTAAAAATATGATTTTTTATCTTCCATAGCCCAGGAACGTCTATGCACATGTATAGATTGCACACAGCACCTATAGAGTTGGAAAACTAAGTAGTCATAAAATTTTGAACCAATTTAAAACTGCATGATCTAACAGGATCAGTTAACTCAGAAACAGAATGACAACCCTTCAGCCTTCCCCAGTCCTGCCAGTAAAATCAGTAACTTCATTCTCTCTGTTCCCATTACAGTACCCCAACTCCGAATTACAGCAACCATCACAGTCTGATCTACATTACAACTTAATTGTATACATGTCTGTTTTACCTCTAAGAAGACAAATTAGACTCTGTAACACTTCTTTGTATCCAATGGCATGGTGTAGCTGCACTCAATGTTTATGCTCAATTAACGTGCTGAAGACAACTAAGCTTAAAGCACTTAATTAAAATGAGTAGTCATAATTTCCATTTCAGAGCTACTCAAATAATGGTTTCAGAAAACATTTGGGCAATTTATAAACATCATAATATATACTATGTATGTACTCTTTTTAACCTCCTCAATAATATAGGGTAACCTCAAAAGAAAAATGTTACATCTCAAAGAGGAGGGAGTGGTATTTAGTTAGTTTCTGGCAAATGCTCTTTTACAGTTAACATCTTAAAACCTCAGTTTCTTCATCTGTGAAATTAGGCTAATAACAAAACTTACCACAGAATCATTTTAGAACTAAGTTTTTTTAAGTGTTCAGAGGAGAATCTAGCAAATAACCAGTTCTCAATAAACATTAGTGGGGTTTATTATGATGATTATTTTTAAGATTCTAATAACAATAATGAAATAAAACAATGCTATGAATATCCCAAAACAGAAAACAAATTCAAAATCACTTAAATTTTGTTCTGGAATCATATAGTCTAAAACTAACATTTAAGTTTGAGTGTCAGGGATTTGGTAGGGGAAAAAAAAACATTCTGGGAGGCCGAGGCAGGCAGATCACAAGGTCAAGAGATCGAGACCATCTTGGCCAACATGGTGAAACCCCATCTCTACTAAAAATACAAAAATTAGCTGGGCGTGGTGGTGCACACCTGTAATCCCAGCTACCTGGGAGGCTGAGGCAGGAGAATCACTTGAACCCGGGAGGTGGAGGTTGCAGTGAGCCGAGATCGCGCCACTGCACTCCAGCCTGGCAACAGAGCGAGACTCGGTTTCGGAAAAAAAAAAAAAGAAAGAAAGAAAGAAAAGAAAAGTCAGTGAGTAACAGAGCGAAAAAAGAAAACAGAACAGAGCAGAAAAAGAAAACAGAAACAGTCCAAACTCCATGTCCTGTCTGTGCCTCTTCTCTCTGCCTAGTCTATACTAAAAACAGAATCACCACTTAACCTGAAGAAAGGCACCAGAGGTGATAAACTGCTACATGTATCATTGCTCTGTTTATTTTATGAAGTTTATTGTAGCTCCTCTGGGCTTCATTGCTCTGTTTATTTGATGAAGTTTATCGTAGCTCCTCTGGGCTTAGGCAAGTAATTAGTTACTTCAGTTTAGAGGCCCCCAGCTGGATGCAGCCAGATGCACAAGTGAATGCCAACAGCGGCTAGGACATTTCACTGACAAATAACTGCACAACTACTTTTTTCCCTGTAGAGGTTAGCTATGAAGAATGAAAAGGCAAGAATTGTCACAGAGTTTCTAAAGGAACATAAAAATAAGAATTAGAAACACAAAAGTACCTAGACTGAGCAGATATCTCATTTCATGTGTTTGAGTATTTTTGTTATAATCCCCTGAAAGTATTCCATACAGCATTAAATAATGCAAAAATTTAATTATATCTAAATCAAAGCACACTGCCAAGTGTGGGTAAGATCAGGGAAATTGTTGGACGAGTTCTCATCATAACACGTCTAGAATATACAGAGGGGCTGGGATTCCCTAGCAGATAATAAAACACCTATCAAACACTGCCTTCCAGGCACCCTTCTAACGCAGAACATACAGCTGACACAGCAGTCAGAAGAGACGTCCCACCTTCCCTGTCTCTACATCCGTGATTCTCAAAGAAAGAAAAAGGAAGAATGTCAATCCAAACTAACAGGGAGGCTTTTTCCAGTCAACTTCGCTTTCCTTCACCTTAAAGGGACAATAGATTCCCCTGAGAACACTGTCCTGTATCTGCCACCAAGCCCTGTCCCTACTCAGAATCACAGCTACCACAACTGCAGAGACCAGGAAAAGCCAAGGTGAATGTTTAACATGGTCTTCCACCTACCTTGCCAAGCACTTAACGACTACCAGCTACTTTGAAATCCAAGTACTGGGAATCAGAAGAAGATACAGACGTGACAACAGGATAACTTTCATAGTCTTCTTAAAGCATTTTATAAGCAGATAGTAGAAAAAAATATCCATCTGAAAAAAAAAAAAGCTGTAGATGCTAGGGTAACAGAGGACAAAGGCAAAGTAACTGCTGATATTGGATATACCCAAAAGCTAAAGAACATACATTTAGTTGTGGAGGGAAAGGTGGAAAAATGTAGCTGTAAGAAGCAAATGATACAATTCTTTTTTCTTTTTTAAGATAAAGTCTTGTTCTGTTGCGAAAGCGGAGCGCAGTCAGGTGTCATCATAGCTCACTACAACTTTGAACTCCTGAGCTCAAGAGATCCTTCCACCTCAGCCTCCTGTATAGCTGGGACTACAGGCACTCACCACCATTCACCACCATGCTCGGCTCATTGAGGTATTTTTGTAGAGTCTTGTTTTGTTGCCCAGACTGGTCTCAAACTCCCAGCTTTGAGCGATCGCCCCTCTTTGGCCTCCCAAAGGGCTGGGACTACAGGCTTGAGCCACCTTTCCTGGCCTCTAACTCTTTAGTAGAAAATTAAATGCTGTGATCATAATTTAGATAAGATAATAATAAAGTCCAAGGGAATGGAAAAAACAAGGTGATCAAAAGTTTAATAATTTCACATTATAAATAAGACATTGTTGTTCATGTTTCATGTCTTTTGGTGTTACTGCACACCCTGATGAAATCTGGAATCCTGGATTTAAAACAACAATGGTACATTCTCCAGCTTTTCTGTAAGCCACCTTAACACTTACAAAACAACTCAAAGGACAACGAGTAAATAAAAGACAATACCCCTGGCTCTGGGGTTGATCATTTATCACTGCAGTCTGGATGTTTGTTCATAAACCTGTATTTCAAATTCTGTGTTGGTGGTGTGTTAATATTTTATTTTATAATATAAATTAATCATGACCCATGGGTCTACATTTCTCTACTTTTTATTTCAATATTGGAAAAAATGATATTAATGGCTTTCATTTATTAATTGCTTACTATGGGCCAGCCAGTTTTCTAGGCATTTTATGTACATTACATCATTTACCCTCATAAAATCTATAAGAATAGCTATATTAATCTCAATTTTCCAAATAACACCCCCAAAAAAGTCACTCGCCCAAGGTCACAGACACTTAACCATTGGAAGAGTCAAGTGTTAGCCCCAGGACAAGATGAACCCTAAAGCCCATGCTTTTTCCTCATACTACACCGAAACTGGAATTTTCTAATAATATCACGCAGACACCAGAGAAGATAATCACACAGGTAACTGCTATTTCTTAGTTTTACATATTAACAGAAATTTAAATAATCTATGTGTATATACTGTACATCACTCTATTCCATACAACACATAGAACAGTGCATGGAACTATTCTCAAAAATACTCAAGTGGTTATTGAATAATTAATGTCTCAAAATATCTAGAACAGCACATTTCCTTGTCTACATGACACACTGGGCTTGTTGTAGATACTCAAATATGAATTAGCTATAGACCTTGGGCACATTATTTTCTCATTTGCACCAAAAATATAACATCATCTATTGTTGTATTTTCCTCAGAAACCACTCTAAGAATCCACTGAGATCGTATATGCAAAATCCTTTCTAAACTGTAAAATCTTCTATAAAATAAGGTCATGGAGCACTAAAATCAACAATCTCACCCAGAGTAAAATGTAGCAGTGGTAATACTAGTTTCATCTAATTTGTTATCTGTTACTGGTATAAAAGGAAAGAAAAAAATTCATATTGGCAAAGCTTACAATTTACCAACATGTGACATACATTGATTTAAGATAGAAAATGTTTCAAGTCTAAATGTTATTTACCATTCACACTACTCCCTAAAAAAATGTAAGCAAATCAAAAGTTGTGCAATATTGCTGGAAAACACTTTACTATCATATTCATAATCTGATGATTGCCGATTCAACAAGCCTGAGTCACAGCCTAGACATTTTTGTTTTTAAAAAGTTATTTCGGATAATTTTAAGTTACAGAGCAGCTGGTTTTATTTGATTTATGTGCTGGTATTCTCTGAAAGACATCTTTTGAAAAAAAATTCTCTGAGCTCCAGAACCAGGCTGGTTTGGAAACCGCTGGCCTAACAGAATGTTTAAGTATTTTTGACATAAGCTGAGCAGCGGAAAATGATACTGGAACATAAGTAGTAGCAGGGGAGACAGACAGTTCACATGGCAGAGGGGAGATTAATTTTCTCTCCAAACACCACAGTGAAAATGAGAAGAATGTAATATGATTGTTTCATGCTACCCATATGCTATTTGCTGGAATTATGCTGCACTTTAAAAAATTTAGGTAAAATTCTTATAGAGTGAACTATTTTAAATAAAGGAGACGATTCCGTAGCTTTTAGAACATTCGTAATGTTGTGCAAGCATCACCTCTATCTAGTTCCAGAACACTTTCATCACTGTGTTGTACTTTTAAATTTATTTATGGAGTTTATTTGTGCTGTGCTTCTTTCTAAAAAAAGCTTGGGAGTGGCTTCTCATTAAGGCTATTAATAAAATAGAAATGGAAGATCAGAACCAAGGAAAGGAGAAAGAAGCTAACATGAAATCAACATGTGTTAACGTAGTTTTTATTCAACATTAGGTTTGACACTTAAGCTTTCCAGCAACAGAGCATAAAGGTACATCTGATAAATTATCCAAAAGCAGAGAATAATTCCAGCACCTCAGTGGAAACAGTTTTTCTTGACACTGAATTCTAAATGAAATTTCTCAATTGGGACTTGATGTGACATTGAACAACCGCAGTTTCACAGTGTATACTGAAGCATTTGTAATATGGCTTTTTCTGTAATAACCTTCAATAAAAGCAGATTTTAGAGGTAGCAAAACTATAAATATTTGACCTCTACTACTAGGTTGATCTCAAATTAGTCCATATAATTTTTTTTTTTAACAAACAGGTGAAGTAAGAGATTGCAAGGAAGCCCTTAAAATGTCCCATCAGCAGGAATTGTGGTGGCCAAGGAAGCACCCTCAGCAGGACCTGAGGGGGTGGGAACAGGTTGTGCCAGGGATATGTTTTGCAGTTAAGGGTGGAATATTATAGATTGAAGGCTAAGATCTTTTTATATATTAGGCAACAAAGTGTAGGTGTTACAAAATAAAAGCCTCACTGTGCACAAAGATATACAACTGTTGCACGTGGTTACAGGAGTTACTTTTAGTCGGTGGACTTGATGGGTGACAAATGTAGAAATAACTGGAGGATATTTATAGGGAGAAAGTATTTAGTAGATTTGGTAAACTTATATCAACGGTAGAAGTATGGAAGGATTAAGGTAGATTTTTATTGGTTCTATACTCCTATTTTCAAGTTGCTGTTGCTAAAGATTTTCATAATTTGCAGTGCAACTAGCAGTTTATGCGAGTTCCAGTTTCATTACATACTTGTAAGCCCTAGGTGTAATCATTAACACTTTCTTCTAATATAAATGCTAAAACAGATTCTTATTGTTACTTATATTTTCATAGATGAGGATACTGAAGGCTGCGATGCTGTAGGGACATCAGATCATAAGCTGATGGGCATGCATAGTGTGAATGTGTGTGTGTGTGTGTGTGTGTGTGTGTGTGTGTACAGGCCACTGACCAGTACTGTTTATATATATATATGCACACATATACGTATACTTTATATACACACACACACATATATAAAAACAGTACTGGTCAGTGACCTGTTAGGACCTAGGCGTCACAGCAGGAGGTGAGCGGCAGGTGAGGTAGCAAACCTTTATCTGTATGTACAGCCACTCCCTATCTCTCACATTACTGCCTGAGCTCTACCTCCTGTCAGATCAGCAGCAGCATTAGATTCTCATAGCAGCAAGAACCCTATTGGGAACTGTGCATGTGACGGATCTAAGTTGCAGGCTCCTTATGAAAATCTAATGCTTGATGATCTGTCACTGTCTCCCATCATGCCTAGATAGGGCTGTCTAGTTGCAAAAAAACCAGCTCAGGGTTCCCACTGACTCTACATTATGGTAGGTTATATAATTATTCCATTATATATTAAAATGTAATAATAATAATAGAAATAAAGTGCACAATAAATGTAATGCTCTTGAATCATCCCAAAACCATCCCCGCCACCAGTCCACAGAAAAATTATCTTCCATGAAACCTCTTCCTGGTGCCAAAAAGGTTGGGGACTGCTGTTCTACAGTGACTACTTTAATCACTCTTGTATTCATGCTGTCTTCTACAGGGTCTTCATTGGAGTAAATGCTTAATAAAAGTTTACTGAATGAACGAACAAGTGAATGAGCTGGGACAGAGGTCTCTTTCTTTCAAGTTGGATGCAGTGTTTTTACATTGCATTTATGTGAAAATTTGTTTCCCATGTTTTAAAAAACACTTTATGGAGAGGCCAAGGTGGGCAGATCACCTGAGGTCGGGAGTTCAACGCCAGCCTGACCAACATGGAGAAACCCTGTCTCTACTAAAAATACAAAAAATTAGCCAGACGTGGTGGCGCATCCTGTAATCCCAGCTACTCGGGAGGCTGAGGTGGGAGAATCGCTTGAACCCGTTAGGTGGAGGTTTCAGTGAGCCAAGATTGCACCATTGTACTCCAGCCTGGGTAACAAGAGCGAAACTCCGTCTCAAAAAAAAAAAAAAACAATAACAACAACAACAAAAACACCATAAAAAAACTCCACTTTATGCTCTGTAGTGAACATATTAATTAAAATGAGTATTTTATACGGTGTTTTTAACCAAACACCGTAGATGAATGGCTAAAAATCTAACTCCTAAAGCATGTGAAATGAGTAGACTTATTAAAAAAGAAACAAAATATTTTAGTAATGAGAAAGTAAATCAATATATACAAATAGGCAGTTTTCTGTAATTGACCTAATATACTTCCCCAGGTCATGTTTAGTAAATAATAAACTTTAGCAACTGCTTCTTTAAAAATGAATGAAACCAGTCTTTGAAATTATAGCAGATTATGTGAAATTTTATAAAAGCTGCTCCAGTTATTGCCTCCTAAAATGTGAAAGTGACACTCATAGCAGTTTTTGAAATTCACATACACAAAGGGGAGAATCATGTATATGCATTCACATATTTGACTTATATATATATAATTATATACATATCTGATGATAATTATATATCAATCACACTTACATTACCTAATATTAACACATATAATACTAACGTGTGTTGTATACAGTAATCCCCCCGTGTCCTCAGGGATATGCTCTAGGACCCCCAGTGGATGCCTAAAACTGCAATATTATTGAATATTATTGAACCATATGTGTGTGTGTATATATGTGTGTATATATATGTATACACACACATATATATATTGAACCATATGTGTGTATACACACACACACAATTTTTTTTCTTATACGTACATACCTATGACGAAGTTTAATTTATGTTAGGCACAGTAAGAGATTAACAATAACAACTAATGATAACATTGAACAACTGTAACAATATACTGTAATAAAAGATGTGACTGTGGTCTCTCTCTCAAAATATCTTATTGTATGCAATATTTTTGGACCACGCTTGACCACAGGTAACTGAAACCTGAAAGTGAAACTGCAACACACACACACACACACACACAGACGCGCACACACACAGTTTTAACATACATAGTTTTTTTTTTTTTTTTGAGATGGAGTCTTGCTCTGTTGCCTAGGCTACAGTGCAGTGGTGTGATCTCGGCTCATTGCAGGCTTCGCTTCTTGGGTTCAAGCTATTCTCCTGCCTTAGCCTCCCGAGTAACTGGGATTACAGGCATGCACCACCACACCTGGCTACTTTTTTGTATTTTTAGTAGAGACTGTTTCACCATGTTGGCGAGGCTGGTCTTGAACTCCTGACCTCAAGTGATCCACCTGTCTTGGCCTCCCAAAGTGCTGGGATTATAGGCATGAGGCATCGTGCCCAGCCAAATGTACATAGTTTTAATGTGTATTTTTTACATTCTGTAGTCATTTAGGAGTAGACTGCCAGTGGTACCGTGGGGTCCTATGGATGATTCCAAATAAATGAACTCTGATACATTTTATATTGTTTTGTGTGGATACACACAAATATGAAGAATAAACCTCACAGAAGCTGATAGGAATTTTAATGGATTTGAAAATGATTTTCTTGAAATTTTGCTTATTTTTGGCAGAAAAGACTAAAACCTACCATTGCCAACATTTTTATAAATGTAATTTTATGGGTTTATTAAACCTGTATTTATTGAGCCCTACTTTACCTCACAGTGGCCATAGTTGCCATTCATTTCTTTTAATTGTTTTCCTTGTTTTTCTTCATTATGATGCGGTGTCAGAATTTCCGTTTTCCTCCAGAGGTGTACTTCATTTAGTGTAATAGCAACATTCCTGACACGTGTTATGTTTCAGATGTTACTGTTGCCTTTTCATTTGCTTTATACTTTCAAAAAAAGCCCTTTAGTATTAAGTCTTTTGATAGCAACTTTGACATTTATTTAAGTTTTATCACACCCATACGGATACATGCAGATATGTTTTCTGGCTTTTTTTCCAGGAAATTTCAAATAGAAAGGACGAAATTGGTAACTTTGACCTCTTTTTATAAGTGTATAACACTGTGATCGATACTCTAATTTTCCTCCTGGAGCATCGGTTTGTGACAATATGCAGAGAATACTGCCAGCCAGGTAAGCCCACCAGAACCTAAGTGTCTGGAGTTTGTATTGAGGCTTCCTTAAATAGGCATGATTAATTGAGTCATTAGACATATGGTTGAACTCAATCTTCAGCCCTTCCCACCTCCCCAAAGGTCAGGCTGATATCACCTGGTGGCCACAAGCCCCACCTTTAATCACATGGTTAGTCTTTCTAGCTTGGCCATTCTCCATTCTCAGTCCTCTTATTAGCATAAACTATCTAGGGCCCACTGTGAGCCCCCTCGTTAGCATAAACTATCAAGTGTAGTTTGAGGGTCCCACCATGAATAACAAAGATACTCCTATCAATAGGAAGAGTCCAGGGATTTAGAAGTTACCACTCAGGAGCTAGGACAAAGGCCAGCCAAATTCTTTTCAAGCGTCCTTCTATTTCCCCCAAAAGTATAGTATGTCTTATTTTATTAGGTGCCTGCAAAATTGATCTATTACCATTTCTTTACCGTATTTGCATTGCAGTGCGCATGAAGAGCTCTTAATTCAGAACTTTTCTCTGCCACTAATTATGTGGTTTGGGTAAATCACTTAACTTGTTTGAGACTCACTTTTCTTGTCCATAAGATGGAGTGAATAGTACCTACTTATTAGAGCGAAAAAAAGTGCCTCGCAGTGTCTGCACATAAAAGGTGCTCTATAAAATAATAACTATTATTATTATGTGCATCTTTTTCTTGTAATCAAATGCTGTATTTAAGAGTCAGTAGATAATTTTTTTCTGTTACTTATTAAGCATACATTCTAGGACTGTTTTCATTTAACTTGGCTATTTGTAATATAGATATGTAATATTACATATTTTGTTAAATATATAACATATATATTAATATTTATAATACATATTTTGAGTGAGACTCCATCTCTACAAAATATAAAAAATGTAGCCAGGCATGGTGGTGCAAGCCTGTGGTTCTAGCTACTCGGGAGGCTGAGGTGGGAGGATCCCTTGAGCCCAGGAGTTTGAGGATGTAGTGAGCTATGATTGCACCACTGCACTCCAGCCTGGGTAATAGAACAAGTTCCTATCTCAAAAAAAAACTCCAAAAGCTTTTCTATGTATATTTATATGTGCTCTATATTATAATTTATATAGTTATACATAATGTGTTATAAAAATATATTTGTAATAAATATAATATACACTAAATATATGCATGCAATATATATTTTATATAACAAATGTGTATATATATTAAAAGGAGCATTTAACCAAAAAACTGATAATTGTTTTGACACTTGGCTGTTTCCTGTGAAGCAAACCAAATAATTACTAGTGTTTAAACTATTGTACTTCAATTAATTTTATATTTTTTGATGACATCTGTAAATTAATTCTTTAGTACAAGATGTAATTTTAAGTGAGTAAATTTCTTTTGGACCATATTTTGACTAGTATTGTGTTATTTTTCTTTTGACTGATTTCATTACACCACTTACTTAAGTTTTGACTTTTTTTTTGGTTGCTTATATTTTTAAAGTACATCTTCATGTTTATCCTTCCTTCCAAGTAAACTCGCTGTTTATTAAAGGTGCTTTAAAATCAGTTTATAATGCTGGGGATTACTCAGTAAATGTTACTGTCTGCCTAGAAATTGGAAATTAGATTAGCTTTTGCATTTCCTCCATAGTAAATAAAGATACTATCTTGGAGTTTATGACCAAAAATAACCCTAATTAGTATATGAAAGCTGCATGTATCCAGAAACTATGGATATATGACATGAACATATCTTGATAAAACTATGAGCGTATATATAAAACTGTGAGCCTATCTTTGTAAAACTTGTCATATTGGTTGACAAAGCTAAATTAAGACATTAATTAAAAATGTGGGAATATAACTTGAAACCTTTATTAATGGTAGCAGTAAAAGCAATAATAATGAGAAAATGTTTTATAGAAAATTTATTTTTATTTCACAGTTTTCTAAGAACCTGCCAACTAATTTCGATGACTAAACATTAACCCACATTCCATTGCATAACCATTCCACAGAAGTTTTTACAAATTGCCGTAAGTGATTTTCAACAAAGAAACTGGTGAAAGTTGAACTATACGGTATTAAATCATAAAAGGCTTCAATCCCTGATATATGAGTGATACGGAGGAGTGAAGTAATTATCTAGGTCACAGGAGAGAGATAACAATTTTAGGTGTGGTGACATAGACATGTCACATGGAAGTCTTTTTTTCTCTTTTTAAAGTGTCTGTTTCCAGCTTTTGGTGTGGCTGTTGTTGTGATGAGGAAGCCTGAGGCGGCCGTCAGGGGATAGCGTCTCGAGGGCCTAGGGCTCAATAAATACAGGTTTAATAAACCCATAAAATTACATTTATAAAAATGTTGGCAATGGTAGGTTTTAGTCTTTTCTGCCAAAAATAAGCAAAATTTCAAGAAAATTATTTTCAAATGCATTAAAATTCCTATCAGCTTCTGTGAGGTTTATTCTTCATATTTCTAACATTCCTGGCACAAAGCAGTCATAATACATAATTCCTGAATTAATTAAATTTTATATTATATTACTTTATAAATAGTATAAATAAGATTTTTAGGTAGCATTTTTCTTGCTTTCAAGTATCCTCAAGCACTGAGCAGCACATTAGAGTTTAACCAATATGTTTAGTTTAACAAGGTGTTTCTGACCATTCAAATTTCCAAAGGATATCGAACAAGCAATATATTTCATATATCATAGCCTTTATTTTTAATACAATAATAACATTATGCAATTAAAACTTAAATCTGAATTCTTCACCGAGTCATGTTTTCTTCTTCATAAATACTGCCAAATAGTTGAGTTCCACTCAGACATATTTAAACCAAGTTATTCAATCTCCTTAAAAATATTAATTATAAGTGTAGTTATATATATATGTATGTATACTTCCACTAGGTAGAAAAAACATTTTCTATTTTAAAAAGATTCTTGGCTGGGCGCGGTGGCTCACACCCGTAATCCCAGCACTTTGGGATGCCAAGGTGGGTGAATCACTTGAGGTCAGGTGTTCAAGACTAGCCTGGCCAACATGGCAAAACCCCGTCTCTACTAAAAATACAAAAATTAGCCAGGGGTGGTGGCATGTGCCTGTTATCCCAGCTACTCAGGAGGCTGAGATGGCAGAATCTCTTGAACCCGGGAGGCAGAGGTTGCAGTGAGCCGTGATAGTGCCACTGCCATCCAGCCTGGAGGACAGAGCAAGACTCTGTCTCAAAAAAAAAAAAAAATTCTTATTTAATAATATCGAAAAAGAAAAATCATATGTGGATCCTGTTACCTGGCATTGCCAATAATAAATGAAACAAACATGAAAATAAAAGGAATATTCTGTAAAAATACAATTATTTCTAATAATCCATCCTGTAATAAATCTCTATTTTTTTTTTTTTTGAGACAAAGTCTTGCTCTCTTGCTTAGGCTGAAGTGCAGTGGTATGATCATGGCTCACTGCAGCTTCCACCCTCCAGGCTCAAACAATCTTCCTACCTCAGCCCCCTGGGAGCCTGGGACTACAGGTGTGCCACCATGCCCAAGAGTTCAAGACCAGCCTGGGCAACACAGCAAGACCTCATGTCTACAAAAACAAAAATAAAAATATATTAGTGATCTTTCTGCCTTATATTCCCAAAGTTCTGGGATTACAGGTGTGATCCATGGCACCTGGCCTCTATTGTGACTTATTAAAAGAAAGTAGACAATCTAACATTCTGAAATGTTATTTAAAATACCTACTCCTGCTATTTAATAGGGTTCTTTCCAGGCTTTGATAAAAAGATTAATATAAATGTTAGCATAAATGTTCCATTTTAAATTCTTACAAGATTTATCCTCAATATTTAAAAATACGATTCACATGAAATTACAGCTGCATGCAAAAATTGCTTCCAACTTTTAAGTAAAAGATGTTATCAGATCCAAAATTAAATACAGATTCTACCTTGCTATATTTATTCAGTTTCTGCAGAAAACATATAGAAACTGCTAGACTTTATTAAGCAATAGGCAGCTTCAAACTGGCAGCAGGTCGCTTTCCAACAGAATTTATGGGGTGGATTTTGGCATGTTAGTACAGGATGTCTGGAGATACTAACAAGCAAGACCTAACAAGAACACACAAATCCCCAGTCCTTTTTCCCAGGGTTTATAATGATCTGATCTAAAGGTATATATTTTTTCTTTTGAAATACAATCTGTAAAGTCCTTTACATAACTACATTGTAAATGTACTCCAATATAACCTTTCATAGGTGTTAGATTCCTCTGTCTAATCCCAAGCTACTATTTCAAATTTAAAAATTAAGTACTCTCTGGGAAAAATGTAAACATGAATATATAAATGCTTTCCCTAGTTAAATATATGACTACTCTTTCATCTGCTTCTGATTCTTCAGTTAGAGAAGGTAGAGATTCTATGTAACTGATCAGAAAGATCAAAATATCTGGTTTTCCCTCCCTCCCATCCTATCTTTCCAACTACACAGCTCAATGAGAACTGGAGAACCTTCATCCACCATCCTCTAAATAAGTCGATGAATTAACCCTCACACTCCACTGCCTCTGTAAAACATGCATGTTCCATGTGCCCACAGCCCGCTGGCTATGGATAGCTAGGGGCCCCCACTCCGTACACCTAGATATCTCTGTCCTGAATTGAACCCTATGGTTATAAGTCAACTGTGTTTGTCCCCAGTCCTATTTGTGCTTACTATACAACGATTATAATTATATTTATGTAATTAAATATATGTAAGCTAATAAAATTGGAGTTTAAAAAAAAAGTCTTACAGGACACAAAACAAAAAATTAACCAAGCCAAGTGCCGTGGGACAGGTCTATAGTCCCAGCTGCCTGGGAGACTGAGGCAGGAGGATCCCTTGAGCCTAGGAGTTCAAGTCCAGCCTGCGAACATAAATAGAATTTTTAAAATATATACTTTTTTTAATTCACTAAAATGAGAAATCGTCAAATCAAGTGCAGACAAAACAATCATAAAATAAAATGAGGAAAAATGATAAAACTTTAGGATGACTTTGAACTCTAACCAATTCACAAGTATCTTTACATTCTCACTAACACTAAAGGTACTTTTAAGGTATGATATAGTCAAAAAACCGAAGAGTCTCCACTGTCACTAATGCACCCATATGTAAAGACACAGCCTTGATGTGGACCTACCCCAAAAGCCTAGCAAAAGGTTAGCTTAAAATGTTTAGGAAATGTATCCTTTCTGATACCCTGCTTTAACAAAAATATTAACCAATCAACTGCCTAACTCAAGAAGCAAAAGGACTTCTCTTCTAATGCATATATATAATACATATATAAATATTAATCTGCTACTCATATAGGCTTTTTTTTTTTCCTGGGGACAGGGTCCCACTATGTTGCCCAGGCTGGCCTCACACTCTTGAGCTCAAACCATCCTCCTACCTCAGCCCAGTAGCTAGGATTATAGGCATGCACCACTCCCAGCTCTCACATAGGCTTAGTGTCCAATATAAACCATGTGGATTAGACCAAAACAAACAAAGAAAGCCATAATATCTATAAATAAATCTGGTTCACTACAAAGTGCTGAGCTAACAGAAACCTGAGCATCCAAAGACCTCAGGTGTTTGGGATAAGCAATGATTTCCTAGAAAGGATACAAAAGCACTAATATAATAGAAGACTGATAAATTGTATTTCATTAAGAGCTTCTATTTCTCAAAAGAGAATGAAAATCGAAGCAACAAACTAGAAGAATGGATTTGCAATACATATCTGAAAAAGGACACATATCCAGAATATTTAAAGAACTTCTACAAATCATAAGACAATTTTTTTAATGGGCAAAAGATCTGAACAAGCACTTCACAAAAGATAACATCCAAATGGCCAATGCATATGAAAAGGTGCTTAGCACATCATTAGTCATCTGCAAAATGCAAATTCAAACCTCCATGAGATACAAATACATTCCCTACAAGAATGGCTAAAATGAAAGAACTTACAATATTACATACTAAGAAGAATGTAGAGCTATTAGAACTGTCACACATTGCTGGTGGGAGTAGAAACTGGTCCAACACTCTGGAAACCTGGCAGTATCTAGTAAGCCCAAACCAATGCTATCCAAAGACCTAGCAATTCCTCTCCTAGGCATATATGCAATAGAAATGATAGCCTACGTCCACCAAAAGACATACACAAAAATGTCCATAACACCTTTATTCATATTAATCACAAGTTTGTAACAATACAAAGCCCATCAGCAGTAAATGGAGAACTAAATTGCAGTATACATACTACAAGAATAAAAAAGGGCAAGTTTCTGCTGTATGCAACACCAGGAATATACCTTTCAGACACAATGTTGAGTAAAAGAGGTCAGACATAAAAGAGTGCATACTGTATGATTCTATTTATATAAAGTTCAGGCACAAGCAAAAGTCATCTATGATGACAGAAATCAGGATAATGATTTCTAAGGGGGAATGGGTATCAACTGGAAGAGGGTACAAGAAAGCACTGAGTGCTGGAAATATTCTACATTTTAATATGGATGTCGGTGACATGGGATATATATTATACATCAATTTAAGATTTTATTAACTAATTAAATGGTTTATGTATTAATTAATACTGACAGACCTTAGGGCCAGGGTCCTCTATTGATACTTTTGCCCAGATCATTCTTTGTTTGTAGGAGGCTGTCCTGTGCACTGTAGAATATTTAGCATTATCCCTGACCTCTCCACTCATTAGACACCTATAGTGCCCACATGAACAGCCTGACAACCAAAAGTGTCTCCATGTCTCCAGATATTGCTAAATGTCCACTGGGGAATAAAATCACCTGGAGTTGAGAACCCCTGTGTTAAACTACTGGTAGAAATGGGAGAATACAGTAAACCTTCCTTTGTAACCTCTCAAAGTAGGAACCGGAGTACAATCAAGACCATGACTTAGAAATTAAGCACTATAATCCTTGACCTACAAGAAGGACTTAAAAGTCTTTCACTTGACACAGGCAATATTTATCCCAAACTGCCTAATCACAAGAAGTACCTAGGATGCTTATGAACATGAATTCCTAGGTGCTTGCTCTAGAGATTTAGTTTCTATAAGTCTGTGGTAAGGCTTAGAAATCTCTGTTGTCCAACAAGCACCTCAGGTGATTTTTATCAATGAAGCGAGCGTTCCCTAACCCTCTCATGGGTCTTACAACAGGGGTGTGACTCCTCTGCTAGGTCAGCCCTGTTGCTCGCACAAACCCCTTATGGAATGGGGAGCATGCAGATGGGCAGGTGCAGGAGCCAGGGTAAGCGCTTTTGGTCTCTGGCCGCATAGTAGCATCTAGGGGTGTTACAATTAATGCCCTTTTAAGTAGTTGCCGTTCATGGATGGCTAAGTGTTAAACCAGCCCAGTGGAGAGTTGGGGTGACAGCCTTTTACACCCTCTCCTCTTGGTACCCGGGTCCTTGTCTGGCATCCAGGAGGAATCAGGTCACTCGGACTTGAAGGATGGTGAATGTGAGGATTTTATTGAGTGGTGCAGGTGGATCTCTGCAGGATGGATGGGGAGCTGGAAAGAGGATGGAGTGGGAAGATGGTCTTCCCCTGGAGTTCGGCTGTCCCCTGGCCAATCTCTTCTCCAACCACCCCCAGCCGAACTCTCAACGTTCAGATGCTCCCTTTCTTCTCTCCTTCTCTGCTGCACAGCTCTGCCACTCTGCTGCTCTTCTGCTCCTCTTTTTCTCTACTCGTGACTCGCGGAGCTTAGGGTTTATATGGGCTCGAGGTAGGGATGTGGCAAGCCACAGTGGCCTTGGAAAAAGCAACATGTGGGCGCAAAAACAGGAATGCCTGTTCCCATTTAAGGCCATGGGTTTCTAGGCTTGAGGATTGGGCCTTTGATGGGGAACCGCCCTCTTTTACCTAGTATTTCCCTGCATCCTATCTGTATCATAAACAAGCAAGTGTTAAAACAGTACTCTAAGACAACTCTATTTAATGTATACCCCTTAGGTAGAAAACCTTTTAACTATATTGCATGACAAAAATCCTAAACATTTCTACAAGTATAATTTTTTAACAGTTTTTTTTAAATCTCATGCTTTTAAAAAATAAAAGTCTACTAAAACTGAACTACTAGACATAGGAGTTAGCTAATATTGTGAGAAAGGCAAGTCAAGCCAGTGGCTATGTGCTCTCCTGGGGGCCTATGAAACTGATACTGTCTCTGCTTGGCCTTCCCTTTCAGACCTAGGGCCTTAGAAAGAGAAAGCACTAGGTAAATGTAAACTGGGACCTTGTTTCACACATCCTTTCTGCCATTCTTTTGCCTCAAGAGTCTCCCTCCTTACCTCCTCCACTACTCTCTCTTGTCGCAATCTGGCTCTACTGCAATTCCCCATTCTCCCCCTTAACCTAATTACCAGCTCACTCGTTGGCACACCTGCTTCCGCCAGCAAGCCCTGGGCTGGTCACACGCTGATCCGCTCCAGTCCTGGCAGGAAGGAGAGCATGTTTTTTACCAGCCTAGGGCAAGCAATGCCTTAGCTTCAAGGTCGTTCTTTTCACTAGTTCTTTGTGTTTTGTTCTCAACTGCTCTTCAAACTTCCCTGCCTTTCCCTTCCCCACAACACTGACCCCATACTGTTCATTCTCAATTTCCTGTTGACATATTCCTTGCCTAATACCTAACCTTTATCTTCTTTAGCTGTGTTTCTGATTGATTGTGTGGCTTCAGTTTGTATGGCTCCCTCATAAATGTGTGTTTTTATGCTTGGCCACCACTACTTATTAATAACAACTATATTTTCTTACTGTCATTCTAATGACATTCTTCTGGCTTGACTTGCCTTTCTCACAATATTAGCTAACTCCTATGTCTAGCAGTTCAGTTTTAGTAGACTTTTATTTTATTTTTTAAAATAAAACCTCTTTTACCTAGCTCTCTATTAAGGACCTATATGCTTTCTCTGTGTTCTTTTTCCCAAAACAGTGGTAGGACCATTCACTGTCTTTAATTATTTAACATTTTCCCTGTGTGTTCTTTTTCTTCCAAACACAATATGAACCTTTTAGTGTCTAGGTCAATCCTTATACTTCTTATAACCCTGGACACATAGCACAGTCCTACTCAGAAAGGAAAGACTTGAAAACAACAACAAAAACATATATTTTGTTAAAATTATTTCAACAAAGCATATAAATAATACATATTGGCAAGGCGCGGTGGCTCACGCCTGTAATCCCAGCACTTTGGGAAGCTGAGGTGGGCGGATCACGAGGTCAGGAGATCAAGACCATCCTGGGTAACATGGTGAAAACTCGTCTCTACTAAAAATACAAAAAAATTAGCTGGGTGTGGTGGCAGGCAACTGTAGTCCCAGCTACTTGGGAGGCTGAGGCAGGAGAATGGCATGAACCTGGGAGGCGGAGCTTGCAGTGAGCCGAGATCGCGCCACTGCACTGCAGCCTGGGCGACAGAGCGAGACTCCGTCTCAAAAATAAAAATAAAAAAAAAAAATAATAATAATACATATTAGTCATTGTGTTAGATGCTAAGGATACAAAAATGGCCCTATCTATACTTTCAGTGAGTTTACAAACTAGTGAAGAGAGGCTTACAAATCAACAATAAAAATACTCTGTAACTGCCTCAATAAAGCCATAAACAGGGAAGCACAAAGGAAGGAACAACTTTCATCTGGAGGATGGGGATTGATATCAAGAAGACTACAGCAAAGGAAGTGACTTGTGAATAGGGTTTGTAAAGATCAGGAAACCAGGTGAACAAGAGGGCATTCCCAACAAAAAGACCAATGTGTGTAGAGAGAGATGTGGAAGGCCAGGTGGGCACGAGGAATGATGAGAAGTTCAGAGAGCTGGAAAGCAGAGATGGAGTTCAGACAAAGAGAAGGATGAGAACTACCAACCCACGGTATGGAGCTTGAGCATTCTCTGAGTAACTGGACTGGTTATAAGAAAGAAGAGAGAGAGGCCAGAGGCAGTGGTTCACGTCTGTAATCCCAGCACTTTGAAAGGCCAAGGCGGAAGGATCGCTTGATCCCAAGAGTTCAACACTGGCCTGGGCAACACAGCGAGACCTCATCTTCACTAAAAATAAAAAAAAAATGGCCAGACATGGTGGCACATGTCCATAGTCCCAGCTACTAGGGTGACTAAGGTGGGAGGATCACTTGAGCCTGGGAGGTCAAGGCTGCAGTGAGCCAACTTCACGCCATTGCACTCCAGCCTGGGTAACAGAGCAAGATCCTGCTTCAAAAAAACAACAAAAAAGGAGAGAGATAAGGAATGAAGTAAATGGTTGAGCCAAGTTTATTCCTTCAATGACAATAATCTTACAGACTGGATACTAGCAGTATACAAGATTAGGCTGTACCCATTCAGACATAAAAATGTGTTTCCATAAATAGCCAATGTAGTTTTTCATTATCATCTTCCATACCATCATTATCACTGAAGCCACTCGCTTACAAAAGAGTGAATCTAACTATTCTGCTGTATATTTGGGAGCCACTGAATGTCTGCAAAGCAATCAGAGCTCAAATTCAGTTGAGCCACTTTTTAAGCTATTTTTTCTTACATCTTAGAATCTACAATACACAATGGCATGAAAGAAATGCAAGTAAGGGCTTAAGAGAAAAAAGATGTAAAGACCATCTGTATTTATTTGTTCCTCAACTCATTGAGAAAGGACTTCAAGTAAAGGACTATCTGTGGATTTCAATGATCATATGCTCTCCAGATCCCATTTCCATATATAATGGAGCCATAAATTTCTTTAATACTATAGCCTCAAAAAATTACTAAGTGCTATAAACTTTCTAGCTGTACCAAAATTCTCTTTCAAAGTACTATGATTATATTTCTAAGGAATGTGGAAATCACCATGAAGCCACTGAAAGCAATGTTTAACTTGATTCAACCTGTAAATGTCATATTATTTATAGAAATGTAAGAATGACAGAAAAAGCACTATCATTAAAATTTCCTAATCATTGAGTTCTTCATTTCCTACATACAGGTAGCTACACTGACTTTTAAGTCTCTAACAGATTGAGACATTTTGTTAAAGAATGAAAACCTGCAGAAGGCTTAAATGTTACTTATTTATCAATTTTCCCTTGAAACACTCTTCAACCAGGCCCTGAAACTTCCACATTTCTTGAAACCAATTGCAGATCTCATGTCGGAGAATACCGAGTGCCCCAACAATGTGTACTATCTCTACAGCTTCACTTCATAATTAACATGAGCTTAGGCTACTACCAGTGTTTATCTGTTATGCTGAAATCACTTAAACCTCTTATTCCCAGTTGTCAACCTGCTAATCTTACACTTGATTAGCCTCAACCAATATTTGCTAATGGTCACAGTGTGGTGATGACAATGTTGGTAACAAGTATGATTAAAACACTGTGACAACTACAAAATTCTCATGGCTCTCACTGCCTAATCCATAACCAAGAATTACCCTCTAAAAATCCTATGCCATCACCATTATTATATTATTATTATTATTTTTATTAGTCTCAGATCAACTATATACATGAAGGGCAGTTCAATTACGGAAACAGCAAATGGACCAGAGGAACAGATGCAAATGTGTCCGAGGTGTCCAACGTTCTAAGCCTCACCCCACATCTACAGACCTAAAGTTTAATATGATACCTAGGGTAACTACCAAATTGTACATTACCTCAAAAAATAGATAAGCAAAGAGAAGAATGTTATATTTATAACTTGCTTGCTTTCTGGGGAAGTCAAGTCAGAACTTTATCTCTTACTAGGTAGAAGAGTTAAAATATTGCCTTTTTCCAGGACTAAATGTTCTTCCAGCACTCACAAACCTCTGAGGGTGGAGGGTAGAGGGAAAAAGGAAAAAAAAAAAAAAGATTTGACAAAGCAGAGCTAAATTGTACCCTCCCCTGCCCCCCATCCCTACACCAATGCCTACAGCATCATTTTCCAAAGCTGAGAGAATCATTACCACCTTGGGCAAATTGGTTTGCTGACAATGTAGCCCAAATGACTATAAATAAAGTCTTAATTACATTAATTAGAGTAATGTCTTCCTGTAGATCACCTCATTATTTGGGGACCCTGTCTGGGCCTTGGAGCCACGACCCTCCTTGGCTCATCACCATCACAGATCATCCCACCTCCCCGCTGCTTGTAACACCGCTCATAATTATGCTTCAGTGTGTCCTAGACTCATGTCCTCTTACCATCTGACAACAGATTTCATCTATTGGTATTATCTAGCTTCAGCAAAGCATGGGTAATAATGTCCTTGCAATGACTGTAGAACACAACCTTATGATTACAGGCTGATCTACCACCTGACTTTCCAGGAAACTGCCAAACTATTGATACGTAAAGTGATATTTTAACTGCTGTTTAAGTGACAGATGTTCTAATAACCATCAGTCAAACACCCAAGCATTTGGTAACTGTTAACGCACTCACAGTATTGCCAATATTCCTGCAGAGATCGAGTTTTCACTAACACTATAGAAAAAAAAAGTCATAACAATCTCACCAGAGGTGGTGTCAAGAAGCAGTAGTGTAATGATGTTACTCATGTGTTTTAACAAGACTGTACTGTGGCAAATCCTAAGGCTCTTGGTGTTTCCTGAGCTTAAGTGGAATTGATTCCTGGAGTCATAATTAAAAAAACCTGTATAGGAAGGGGCCTTGGGTCCCCTAATGCACTGGTTCTCCAAATTAAGGCTGCACAAAAGTGCTAAGCTGACTCCATCCCAATGGCCCATTTTTAAACAGAGATTCCCAGGGCCCACACTGGAGATTCTGATTCTACATCTCTACAGAAGGACCCAAGAATCTAGTAGACATGTACACATTTGTTAACTCCCCATGAAGTTCTTATGTGCAATCAAATTGAAAAACACTGATATATCACCCTTCCTACCTGCCCCCAATAAGATTTTGATTTCATCAACCTCAGTATTGGTGAAAATGATTGCCAATTCTTTAGAAATCACAATTACTGATATTAAGATGTGATATGTCTGAGGTATCTTAGGTCAGAAAAAGAAAAAGCTTGCAAACCACTGTTAACATCAGCTCATCTTATTATAGAAATAAGAACTCCTGATTTACCCCTAAAACCTGTTTCTCCCACATTCCCCCAACCAGCCTTCCTCATATTGGTAAATGGTCCCAAATCTACCCATTAGTAAAAAAATCAGCAAATCTAAAGTTATCCTGAATTGTTCACCTCCACAAGTGGCCTTCTGTGACCCATCTCTTTCTTTTGGCTACAAGTAACAGAAAAACCAACTCAACTCATGTAAACTGAAAAAGTACCACCGGTAGTAGTAATCAGGTTTATTTCTGTCAGAATTCAGGTACAGTTTTTCCCAGATGTCCAAACAATGCCCTCCTCAGTATGTTAACTTCATCATCTTTCTGGTAGTGAAATAATTATAACAGTTCCAGTTTCTAAATCCACATGCAACAACCAATTAGAAAACTTTCTCAGAGCCCCTGGCTGTTGGGAACAGGCTCCCAAATGTGGCCATAAACTGGCCCCAAAACTGGCCATAAACAAAATCTCTGCAGCACTGTGACATGTTCGTGATGGCCATGACGCCCACGCTGAAGGTTGTGGGTTTACCGGAACGAGGGCAAGGAACACTTGGCCCATGCTGGGTGGAAAACCACTTAAGGCATTCCTAAGCCACAAACATGAGCATGAGCAATCTGTGCCTTAAGGACATGCTCCTGCTGCAGATAACTAGCCAGAGCCCATCCCTTTGTTTCAGCCCATCCCTTTGTTTCCTGTTTTAGTTAATCTGTGATCTATAGAAACAATGCTTATCACTGGCTTACTGTCAATAAATATGTGGGTAAAACTCTGTTCAGGGCTCTCAGCTCTGAAGGCTGTCAGCCCCCTGATTTCCCACTCCACACTCTGTATTTCTGGGTGTGTGTCTTTAATTCCTCTAGCACCACTGGGTTAGGGTCTTCACAACCGGGCTGGTCTCGGCACCTGGCAAATGCCCTTGATCTTGCATTGGCACAAACTGAGACACATTTCCTGGAACCACTGTATGTCCAGGGACAAACTTACAAACTGGCTTGGGCCTGGATTCCTGGGCAAATCTTTCCTGTAGCCTACTGGCTGAGAGACAGAAGGAGAAATGACTGAATAAAAACAAGATTTTGTTAGGAAAACAGAACTGAAGAAACTACCTACTACAAAACCCAATCTAGAGTAAGTTTCCTCTTTTTTTTCCTCATAACATTACCTTCTTTTCCTTCATAGCCTTCATCACAATTTGAAATTGAAAATTTGTAGTTATGTTGCTAACATCTACACAGTACTTACCATATGGTACTGTTCTGAGTGCTTTATACAAATGAATTCACTCACTCCTCGCAACAGCCTTATGAAATCTGCACATTTTGCCATCCCCATATTATAAATGAGGACATACAAGTACAGACAGGTGCCAGAACTTGCGCAGGGCCGTAAGTGGTGGAGCCTGGAGTCCCAGCAGTCGGATTCCAGAGTCCAGGAACTCTGCTATCAACTAATGCTGTTTTTCACTTAGTTTTGTCCCACTCCTCTGCAAAATTTTAAGATACATGAAGCAGTGAATGCATTTGCTTTATACAACACTCTATACCAAGATCCAACACAGTACCAGGCACACTGGAGGCATTCAGTTTACAACATAACTGAACAAATGAAGGAATGGTTGAGGGAATGAGCAAGTGAATGAATGAATGAATGAATGAGGTAATGAACAAAGGAACAGCTAGAAAATCATAATCCAGATCAAATGACTTTTCATGTCACATGACTAATTACAGAAGGGTGGAGAGCGGAGCTTCAATTTCCTGGTTCCAGTCTGGCTTCTCAAACTGGAGGTCCCTGTGCAAAGCAAAAATAGAACTCTAAGCCCCTACAACCATGTGAATGGACCCTCCTCTCAGCAAAGGGCATTCCAAAGTTAACCTGAAAACCAATTCATGCCATGATTGGGTTGGGGGGCAGGCACACCTCATTATACCTTCCTCCCTTTTGTAATTACTGATAGAACAGACTCTTTAAGTCTGACAAGAAACATTTAAAATCTATTCCCTCTGAAGCCTACTACCTAGAGATTTTACCTGCATGATACAACCTCGGTCTCCACAACCCCTTATCTTAACCCACACATTCCTTTCCATTGATTCTAAGTCTTTAGAAAATAACTCTTTCAACCAGTTGCCAAGCAGAAAATCTTTTAATCTACCTGTGACCTGGAAGCCCCCACTTCTACATGTCCTGTTTTTCCAGACTGAACCAACGTACATCTCACCTGTATCGACTGATGTCTCATGTCTCCCTAAAACCAAGTTGTGGCCTCACCATCTTGGGCATATGTTTTCAGGATCATCTGAGAGCTGTGTCAGAGGCCGTTGGTCACTCCTATTTGTCTCAGAATAAATCTCTTCAAATACCTAGTAGACTTTGACTCTTTTCATCAACACCTATTCCACAGGGTCACACTTGCGTAGTCAATAATAAGTGGTCTTTTCTCCTTTGCAAAGCCACCAAATGGCAAATGAAAACTTAGCAGAAGTTAGTTACTTCTTTTAAGACCGATTACAGTGAACATGTTCAAAACAGAGAACGATGTGAGAAGGATGGGATTTTCCTGCATTTACTCCATCCGCACTAGAAAAATGAACATTTTGTTCATTGACAGCAAGAGTCTAAAGCAGAAAATATACATAAAACCCTATGCACTATCAGGTACTGAGGATATTTAACAATAATTTTTTAAATCAACAATTTTCTAATAATCAGTTCAAAGTCTCCACTTGAATTATGAAGATCTAAATATATGCAAAGCATTTGTTGTAATTCTCTTTCACGGTAGTAGCGTGGCTTTTAAAAATATATCATCTGATGGCCAGCATGGTGGCTCACACCTGTAATCCCAGCACTTTGGGAGGCCGAGACGGGCAGATCACGAGGTCAGCAGTTCGAGACCAGCCTGGCCAACATGATGAAACCCCATCTCTACTAAAAATACAAAAATTAGCTGGGCATGGTGGTGCATGCCTGTAACCCAAGCAACTCGGGAGGCTGAGGCAGGAGAATCGCTTAAGCCAGGGAGTCGGAGGTTGCAGTGAGTCAAAATCATGCCACTGCACTCCAGCCTCGTGACAAAGTGAGACTCTGTCTCAAAAAAAAATAATAATAATTTAAAAATTAAAAAAAAAACATCTGAAAAATGTAAGCAGCCAAAAAACAATTACAGGACATATATATGTCAGTTTCCACTGCCAATATCTAGAATCAATTCTGCTTTCAGAAGAAAAATCATAGCGAACAAGATTTCCAGAGAAACTACTAACTGGTACAATCACAGGCACAAAAAAAATCTATTAACCTGACTGGTTCCTAAGTAAACGGGGTAATATATTATGACTCAAATCAATGCTAACAAGTAACTCTCATACTCAATATGTACATTACAGCTTGTCCCTTTACAGAAATGATGTGTTTATCCTCTACTCCAAGAACAAAAGAAAACAGCCTTTGTAAATAAGCAAACATGTTGTGAAACTGTCTATTTTCATATTTGCCTTTTGCCTTAACAAGCAGCTGTGTTTGCTGCTTTGAACAACACATCATCAGCAATATCTATGTTTTTGGGTCAAGATTATAATGGAAAGCGGGTTTCCAAAAATCATTTCAATTATTATAAAAACTAATGACAAAACAGAGAAACGCATACATAAACCACATACTGCTTCATCAATGGTGTAAAAAGAAAAGCTGTTTAGAACTTATTACTGTATGAGACTCTCCTACACCATGTAAGGGACCAAACATTGAAGAAATGTAGAAATGAGTATTGCTCATACTAGACAGACTATGAAGGAGGAGAAAAGGCCCTTTTGAGGAAGGAGGTGGAAGCAGAGAGCCTATATTTACAAAGGCATACAACTATGGCCCCTGTTAGGTTTTTCTAGAAAAATAAAGTTATCTTTCCTTGTGTAGTTTTTTCTTTAAAGTAGAACCCCAACCCACAAGAATACTGCAGTCTTACTTGCCATCTTATCTATAGCTTGGTGCATATCTCAGTGGCCATGAAAAGTATAATCGACCTACCAAAACCTCTTATTCCAAGTATTAAATAAAATACATACAAGAGCAGTGATTATTATTCTGTCACAAGAGCATGCTGTTTTCGCAAATAAAGAAATCCAGAATACAAACCCTGTATCTTATAGTTGGTCAAGAGTTCACTGTGGACATTGGCCACAGTTTTTTTTCTTACTCTTCTCTGACCTCACCCAGATGGATCTCCTCTCCATTCATTCATTTCCCTTTTTGATTTCAAAAAGCATTTGAAACAACTCTTAGCCCTGCCCTGCCGATTTGTTAAGAAAGGCCTTAAAAAGCTATTAACCTTGTTGGTTTTTAAATAAACAGGGTAATGAACAAAGGAACAACTAAGAAATCATGATCTGGATTTTTCATGTTACATGACTAATTACGGAAGAGTGGGGTCCAGAGCTTCAATTTCTTGGGTCTAGTCCAGCTTCTTGGGCCTAAGAAAATGGTCAGTTTCAGATTTGGGAGTAAAAACTTACCAAAGCCATTCTCAAGCACTGTGTTACTAAATAGGCTTCCAAATGAGATCATGTTACCACTGGGAAGCCTAAATAACTGAACTGAACTGAAACTAAAAATAAATCCAATTATTGCATGGATATATTTGTAAAATCATTAAGGCTGATCATCTTCCAATCCCCAAATCCTCAACTCACAAAGGACAAGGAGACACACATTCTCCTGTTGGTAGCTTTAGCAAACTTCCTATGTTTTGATCAGGAGGGAAAAAAAAAAGCCCTTCTCAAATTAGACAACAAAATATTTTCAGAAATTACGTAAGTTACTTTATAATCCTTTTTAATATTATAAGCAGTATGATGGCTCTAAATTTATAAGTAGCCATAACAAAAAATATCGTGCAAACAGAATACAATCACCACTTGTTAAACATGATGAAAACTAAAGGCAACCATATGAAAACAAACATACATCTTTGCCAGTAGACATTAATCTGCTCCTGTGGACTTAAATTCCTTGAGGGCAGGGATCAATTCTTACTCAACCTAATTTCAATTCGTTGGAATGAACCCATACTACAGAACTAGGTTCTGGGCACACAACCATGTGCAGGTAAGATCTCGCTCAGTGTGAAGCTTACATTCCAGAGGTGGTGACAGTGCTCCCCGGAAGTGTAAAAAAGAAAATTAATTTTAAACGAGTTAAGTGTCAAAAGAAAAACAAATGGCTGAGACAGAAGTGAAAAAGTGGGCTACCCACCTAATGGAGGCCAATCTGAGGAAGTGACATTTGCAATTTAACAGAGAACTGAAGCCCAGGATAAAAAACTAAGCTCGCAAAGAATGGCAGTCACAAGTACAAAGGCTCTGGAGTGATTTAAGAGTTGAGCTTGTTTAAGGATAGGGGAGATGACTTATATGTCTGAATGTAATGCATGCAGGAGAGCAGCCTTCAAGAAGACACCCGGAGATGAACGGGGCGGAGTCACACACGATCACATGATAAGGAATTTGCATATTATTCTGAATGCAAGGGAAACCTGATCTGGCTCGTATTTTACCTCTCCTACTGCTCCATAAAAGAAGGGACTGATGGGAGAGCAAGCTGAGAACAAGGAGAAGAGGTGAGAGGCAGTATGATAGTCCCAGCAAAAGATAAGGTAGTGAGATCCGGGTGGTGTCAGTGGTAATGGAGAGCTGTGGACATACAAAAAATGAATTTTGGCCAGGTGCTGTGGCTCATACCTGTAATCCCAGCACTTTAGGGGGCTGAAGCAAGAGGACTGCTTGAGCCCAGGAGTTTGAGACCAGCCTGGGAAACATAGCCAAACCCTATCTCTACAAAAAATTTTTTAAAACATTAGCCAGGCATGGTGGCTGGAACCTGTAGTCTCAGCTACTTGGGAGGCTGAGGTGGGAGGATCACTTGAGCCCAGAAAGTCAAGGCTGCAGTGAGCTACGACTGCACCACTGTACTCCAGCCTGGGCCACAGAGCAAGAATCTGTCTCCTACCCCTCCAAAAAAAGAGTTTCGGAGGCAGAATCAATGTGACTTGCCTCAATGATTGAAATTGGTGAGTGAAAAAGTAGGATTCAAATATAATTCCCAGTTATGACAGCAAGTATATATTCAAGTGCAGATGTCAAATAAGCATTTAAATACTGAAGAAAGTTTGGGTTCAGAGGAGAGGGCTGGGCTATAGTAACAAATGTGGAAGCCGTCAACAAAAAATTTTTAAGTAGGTTTCAGAAAGGACATGGGGTTTGGAATCCCAGATCTGCCACTTACTAGCTCCAGTCCTTAAGAGAAGTATTTGAGCTTTAGTTTTCTCATCTATAAAATGAGAGTTAAAATACCTATTATTTTTTACAAGATTGTCTAGAGCAGGGGTTATCAATTTTTTTTTCCATAAAGGACCAGATAATAAAGATTTTAGGCCTGGGGACCATAAAGTCTCTGTCACAAATGCTCAGCACTGCCACTGTAGCACGAAAACATAAACAATATATGAACAAATGAGCTGGGCTGTGTTCAAATAAACTGTATTTACAAAAATAAAGGCTATAGTTTTGCCAACCCACTGTCTACTGCCGTATTGTCAAAGTGTGGGCACCAGACTGGCAGCATCAACATCACCTGGGAACTGTTAGAGATGCAAATTTAAGATACCACCCTAGACTTACTGAATCAAAAACTCCGGGGGTCAGGGTTGGGGTCCAGCAATCATATTGTAACAAAACGTCCAAGGGAGGAGTCCTAAATTTGAGAATCTCTGGTCTAGAGAGTAAATAAATATAAAGTGATTAGGTGCTATTTTTATCATCATTAATCTGGCTCCTAGAAGTTTAGGGTATAGCTCCTAAACATCAAGTCAAATGCTGGGTAATTTTGGTAGATCAAGCAAAAGACAGATAAAAATCTCTGTTAAACTATATGATGGGTTGGCCAGGCATGGTGGCCTGTAATCCCAGCACTTTGGGAGGCCAAGGCAGGTGGATCACCTGAGGTCAGGAGTTTAAGACCAGCCTGGCCAACATAGTGAAACCTCGTTTCTACCAAAAAATACATAAACTAGCCAGGTGCGGTGGAGCGTGCCTGTAGTCCCAGATACTTGGGAGGCTGGGGCACAAGAATCACTTCAACCTAAGAGGTGGGGGTTGAAGTAAGCCAAGATCCGCCACTGCACTCCAGCCCAGGTGACAAAGTGAGCCCCTGTATCAAAAAAAAAAAAAAACTATATGGTGGGCTTAGGTGAAAATACTGGAGAAATTAAAGGTTGATTTTTATATATTCTTTATTCTAAAGAAGTCCTTTACTTTCTTATGTTAAGACAGATTTAATTATGTCATGTTCACACTCCACTTATTAAAATGAACAATTTAATTTTTAAATATATATATATATATCTCCAACCTAACTTCCAGTAGAAGAAACGTGATATGCCAATTAACTTCCAGATCCCTGATGGAGGATTAGGCATTAGGTGACAGTCTCTATGTTATAACTAATGTACTTTATTTACATGAACAGAGAATAAACAAATTTATCAAATGTTATTAACAGAATAATGTGACCAGTGGAAAGGTTTAAAATTAATGGAGCAAGATAAAACATAAAGGGGTATCTATAAATAGAATACACCACCACCTGTTTTCATATTGTTTAATACTGCTATTAGAAACTAGACAAAGCCAGGCCGGGTGGCTCAAGCCTATAATCCCAGCACTTTGGGAGGCCAAGGCGGGAGAATCACTTGAGGCCAGGAGTTCCAGGCCAGCCTGGCCAACATGGTGAAAGCCAGTGTTTACCACAAATACAAAAATTAGCCAGGTGTGGTGGCACACAACTGTAATCCCAGCTACATGGGATGCCGAGGCAGGAGAATTGCTTGAACCTGGGAGGCGGAGGTTGCAGTGAGCCGAGATTGGGCCACTACACCACTCCAGCCTAGGTGACGGTGAGACTGTCTCAAAAAAAAAAAAAAAGAAAGAAACTAGACAAAGATCTGCCTATTGAACCTGCCTACCTGCCTCAAATTAGATAAAAAGAATTGTGGATGGCCAGGCACTGTGGCTCACGCCTGTAATCCCAGCACTTTGGGAGGCCGAGGCGGGCGGATCACCTGAGGTCGGGAGTGCGAGACCAGCCTGGTCAACGTGGTAAAACCTCATCTCTACTAAAAATACAAAAATTTGCCGGACATGGTGGCGGGCGCCTGTAGTCCCAGCTACTCAGGAGGCTGAGGCAGGAGAATCACTTGAACCCAGTAGGTGGAGGTTGCAGTGAGCAAAGATTGTGCCACTGTACTCCAGCCTGGGCAACAGAGCCAGACTCTGTCTCAAAAAAAAAAAAAAAAAAAAGAAAAGAAATATGGATGGGCCATTGCGGTGGCTCACGCCTGTAATCCCAGCATTTTGGGAGGCTGAAGTGGTCGGATCATGAGGTCAAGAGAGAACAGCCTGGCCAACATGGTGAAACTCCGTATCTACTAAAAATACAAAAATTAGCTGGGTGTGCTGGCAGGCGCCTGTAGTCCCAGCTACTCAGGAGGCAGAGGCAGGAGAACTGCTTGAACCTGGGAGGCGGAGGTTGCAGTGAGCCGAGATCACGCCACTGCATTCCAGCCTGGGTGACAAAGCAAGACTCCGTCTCAGAGAAAAAAAATAAAAATAAAAAAAAGAATTGTGGATGGATTTAAAAGGGTCATGCCCACCACCACCACTATGTTCATGCCAACAGGCTTTTACAAAATTCCATACGACAGCCAAAATAAAATCTGTACAAAATAAAATCTGTCTGCAAATAAAATCTGTTAACAGCCTTAGAAGGAGCTAACAGGAAGGGGCGAGGACCATAACTAGATACTCTCTCAGGAAAAAGAAGGCCAGCTTCCATGACTAGAAAGAAATCCAATCAGGCAAGTAGTGCACAATCTGTAAAGAGTTAGGCAACAAGCATTGGGTGGTCTTCAAAGGGAGCAGCAGAATCAGGGAGTTCCAACACAGAATAATGAGGGATCCAAACTAGTCTCCTAAAGAACTTGCTACTGGAAATCTGGGAGCAATAATTACCTGGAGAATCAAGGAGAAAGGCTATCAGTTTAATTCAGGTAAACTCAGGAAAAGCTCTCAGACTGCCCAGCCAATGGGAATTAAATGACTGAAACCAAGGCAAGAGATGAGTTGAAAAAGCTGGGAGCCATGTAAGGACCAAAAACAATTTACTCATTGATATTTATTTATTTATTTGGAGACAGAGTAAGCTGTCGCCCAGGTTGGAGTGCAGTGGCACAATCACGGCTCACTGCAACCTCCACTTCCCAGGTTCAAGCAATTCTCATGCCTCAGCCTCCTCCTGGGTAGCTGGGATTACAGGCATGCACCACCACACCTGGCTAATTTTTGCTATTTTTTTAGAAGAGATGGGGTTTCACTGTGTTGGCCAGGCTGGTCTCAAACTCCTGGTCTCAAATGATTTGCTTGCTTCGGCCTCCCAATTTTTACTGAATTTTAAAAGGTCCCAGCCATAAATGTATTTGTCCAAGTTACATAACCCATTATTAAAAATATATATGAAGATACAATTGTAAGATACAAAAGAAGATACAATTGTGAGATACAGAAGATTTCTAGATTTGTTCGACCAGAAGCACTGTGTTTGACTTAGAATCTGAGACTGATAGTAAACTATTCACAAATTATGTAATATTGATAGCACAAAGTTTCCATGGTCCTAACTTAGAGAATTTTTAAAATTTGTGTGAAAATTCACAAAAGTTAAAAGTGAAGACTATTCAACTGGTTAAGGGTATCCACAAAATAAAAACGCTAAAGCAGCAGCCAATGTAGGCTCCTATTTTTAGCCAGAAAGATTCCATTACTTAGAGATCCTCTTTCCAACCCCAACATCTTGCAAGAAGTGAAACTTGGAAGAGATCAGTAAAACAGTAATAACAACCCTGATTTCCTTCTGCTGAGACTGCACAAACCTATGGCAAGATTATCTGAAATGAAACCAACCAAAGTTTTAATCCTATATTTTGTCCCTGTCATATAATCACAGATATCAAAGACATATTAAAAGATATTCATATACTTTATAATTCAATAAAATAAATTCAAATTCATGGTTTACTTGTTTTTAAATGTAGATCCTAATGATCTTTTATTCTAACCTAAAATTATAATGGTTATAAATACTATAGACTCATAGTTTATTCCCCCGCCATACTTAAAGACACTAAATCAAAGGTACACCAGAGTTCAGCCTTACCAGCCCAACAAATCAAACAAACTTTTTTTATTTCCCCTTAAAATGGAAAGTACATACTGGCATAACTATACCCAAGTGTGCATTCAGCACTAATTATTATTTTACAAACTTAATAAGCATATTTACCTGTGGAGATTTTTAATATGAGTAGGAAAAAGTGATAGTATAAAAGCTGATAAGACCAACAACTAAAAACTAATTTTCAATAACTGCATTCTAGTGTAGCAGGTAAGAAAACTGGCCGGGCACAGTGGCTCACGCCTGTAATCCCAGCACTTTGGGAGGCCTATGCGGGCGGATCACGAGGTCAGGAAATCGAGACCATCCTGGCTAACACGGTGAAACCCCGTCTCTACCAAAAATACAAAAAATTAGCCAGGCGTGGTGGCGGGTGCCTGTAGTCCCAGCTATTCGGGAGGCTGAGGCAGGAGAATGGCGTGAACCCGGAAGGCGGAGCTTGCAGTGAGCCGAGATTGCGCCACTGCACTCCAGCCTGGGCGACAGAGTCAGACTCCGTCTCAAAAAGAAAAGAAAACAAGCTTTAGAATCTGCCTGGATAGAAATATGCTTCTACCAAGGTCTTGTGACCTTGGAGAAATAATTTAACCTTTTTTTTTTTTTTTAATCTCACTTTGTCGCCCAAGCTAAAGTGCAGTGGTACGATCCAGGCTCACTGCAACCTCCATCTCCCAGGTTCAAGCGATTCTCCTGCCTCAGCCTCCCAAGTAGCTGTGATTACAGGCGTATGCCACCATACCTGGCTAATTTTTGTATTTTTAGTAGAGATGGGGTTTCACCATGTTGGCCAGTCTGGTCTCGAACTCCTGACCTCAGGTGACCCGCCTGCCTCAGCCTCCCAAAGTGCTGGGATTACAGGCATGAGCCACCACGCCCGGCCCATAATTTAACCTTTCTATATCTCAGTTTTCTCATCTATAAAATGAAGGAAATACTGGTACGTACTTCACCCAGTTACTGTGAAGCTAAAGGGTGATCTCCTAAGAGAAGCAGTGAGAGTAGTGCTATCACCCAGGAAGAGCTCAATAAACGTTCACTTTTAAGGAAATGCATTAAGGAGCTACTCAGACAAACTTGACAGTGCAATGTCAACATACCATATTACATACCATATTCCAACCTTAAAGTAACAAGCCAATGACATCCTTAGAGTTGGCACATCCCAGTGAGGTATTCAATTTGTATACATATTTTATGCAGACCATATGTCAAGAAAAATCCTTTACTTGGTCAAATAAGTCTGAATATACTATTACATTAAATCATAATTGAGCTGTTCTTCACTTTCCAAGGGGCTACATCCAAGTAACTGCATGTTGGCTTGGTTCAGACATGCCAATGTAGTCTAAAGGAAAGGGGACTCTGAAACTACCAGCCAGATATTTTTAAACAAACAGAAGCCTTGAGGTTTTTTTAAGTAAATAAAATTGTTTGCAGTAATTATTTAGGCTGGCCATTATCTTATTCACTAAATTGCCCAACTCTACTTCTTTTTGCATGATTTTCTTAATAGCCAGTATACTAAGCATGCTGCTATTTTTCTGACTTGATTCTTTTACTTATGAGGTAAATAATATACCAGATAATCTAGAAAATTCATGGAAATCATCAGTTTCCTCACCAAGCAATTACTCATTCCAAAATGAGAAAAGGGCATGTGAACAGTCTCTGCCTTACTGAATGGTGTTATTTCTCAGGCTGTAAATCAAGCTTTAATTTTTTCAAAAACTATCATAATCTGAAATTAGGATATATGGGTTGCGTATCACTTATCCAACATACTTGGGAACAGAAGTGTTTCAGATTTTGAATTTTTTTTTCAGATTTTGGAATATTTGCATATACATAATGAGATATCTTAAGGATGAGACCCAAGTCTAAGTATAAAATTCATTTATGTTTCTGGCTGGGTGCAGAGGCTCATACCTGTAATCCCAGCACTTTGGGAGGCCCAGGCGGGCAGATCACTTGAGGTCAGGAGTTTGAGACCAGCCTGGCCAATATGGTGAAACCCCGTCTCTACTAAAAATACAAAAATTAGCTGGGCGTGGTGGTGCACTCCTATAATCCCAGCTACTTGGGTGGCTGAGGCAGGAGAATCACTTGAACCTGAGAGGTGGAGGTTGCAGTGAGCCGAGATCGCGCCACTGCACTCCAGCCTGGGCGACAGTGCGAGACTCCACCTCAAAAAAATAAACAACAACAACAAAAAAACTTCATTTGTGTTTCTATACACCTTATACACATAGCCTCAAGGTAATTTTATACAATATGTTTAATAATTTTGTGTGTTTTGACTGTGATCTCATGAAATCAGGTGAAGAATTTTCCACCTGTAGTGTCATGTTGATGCTCAAAACGTTTCTGACGTTAAAACACTTTGGACTTCAGATTTTTAGGTTATCTGTATTCCCCTCAAAATGAACTGTTTATTCCACCTGCAGAACTTAAAACTTTTGGCTGAAAGGCAAAGTTTTCATTCAACATTTGCATGGTCTTATGATGTCTGGCAGAATAATGTCTATATCAGGGAAAGGACAGGCAAATCATTAAGCTAGAAGATGAAGAGCTTCTTAAAAATATTCCAGAGTCAAATATTATTTCTCCTCACATTCCACTTGAACTTTCAAGTCTGAGAAAGACTACAAAAATATCCAGGGGAACAGAAATGGTCATACAGCCAACCAAATGAACCAAATAACTTAGCACAGGGTTTCTAAAACTGTGGTCACCCGGCCAGTAGTTTGAGCATCACCAGAGAACTTGTTAAATCAGAAATTGAGGGTAGGGTCCAGTGGTCTCTTTTAAGAAGCCCTCTAGGTAATTCTGACACACACACTGAAGTTTGAGAATCTCTGGTTTCTGATAATCAAGCCCTGACACTGAACACCTTCAATTTTCAGCTTAGGGCTCCTATCATAATGTGCTCCATTGTGGCTGGGAGTCTCTGGGCTATGTTTGTGCCTTTCCGCCAGATATTGCAGTCAAGATTCTACCACAGAGCCAAGGCAAATTAACCTCCACTTCAGACTGCAAGGAGGAGAGAGAATAAAAAATGATTACAAAAAAAGAGATAGATCTATCTGTCCACAGAACAAACTTCTTAGAAAGCACAGAGAGGTGAAATCTTCCAGGTTTCAATTTCTCTGGTATTCTTACTAGTATATTCTCAAAGCTACTAACCATCAACTTTGAAAAAGAACTGAAAAATGACCTTCTAAAAATATATTGACAAAAAAACTGGTTACGTGAATAAAGCTCAGATAGTAATACACGTTTTTAAGAGAACTGAGAGTTGGGAAAACACTGGCATTAAATTCCTTTTTTTAATCTTAAGAACACAATTTGTAAAGTCTCTTTAAAATCATTCTTGCAAGCTTCAGTAAATAATACACAAAAACAACCAATAAACATTATAACAATCATGTTTTTACCTTTTAAATGATTGTTCATCCTATAATTATAAAACATAATGATGCTTCAAAACTCACAGGCAAATGTTAATTAAAAATTAACATAACAAAGTCTCATATTTTCAATAACAACTCCTGCTTTATTTTTTATTGTAGTAATGTATGTATAACATAAAATAACTTTTTAACAGAAAAATTTGGGTAATGCCATACAGACTCTTTTTGCAAGTGGATAAATATTTACAGAGTATTAGTGACCTATCCTAGACCTTTGGGAGAGAATCAGATATTCTTGTTTCCCCAATCAGTTTAAGTCTGTAATTCACTTCATGCCAATGGGATTAAGCCCTTTTCCCAGTTCAAATATTCAAGTTTAGCTGAAATGTGCTAAGCCTGACATTCCTCCTGTATAAGACTACATAGGCTTGACTAGAGACAGATCTGCATTGGCATACATTTCACCCCCATCTCCATTTCTCTTTGCACCTTGGAGAAACAGTGGTGCATTGAGCCATTCTGGTTGAATGCTTCTCCTGACACACATCCTTAAATTGACTCTGACCCAAAGGGAGGTGTGGAGCCAAGAGGGAACACATCACTGTGGCAACTCCCCACAACAGACCCCCAAGCGATTAGTACAGCACTCCCAGCTCTAAGGTCAAATGTAGATCCAACTCCAATATGTGAGTAGATACTCTTGAAAACATTATCATTTTATATTAGTAACCACAATCCTCCAACTCGGTGGCTCTGCATGAACACAAACTTTGCCATGGTGACCATATATCTCGGTTTGTCCTCAACAGTCCAGGTTTATTACTCACAGTGCTTGTATAATTATTAGTGGTGCCCCTTTTGACAATAAAATTGTCCCATATCAAACAATAAAGTATACGGTCATCCAACAGATAGGGCCATTGCATTAAAGGAATAGGCATGACAGACAAACCACAGACAAGTATGTTAGGGGATGTTTGCAGGTCTACTGCTCTAGGCTACGTTTGTAGACTTTATAGACTCTGTCGAGGACTGAGGGAAACACTTAGGAGACTCTCTTAACAATGATCTTAAGTCCAAATAAATAATTCTCCACTTCAAATATAGAACTCAGAACAAAGCAAACAGCAGGTCTTCCTTCTGATTTCAAGGGTCCCTAGAACTATCCACAGCCAACTCTGCATGAAGCATACTGCTGGATGATAATATGTTGAACTGACCCCTTTAACATGTCTAGCTGCAGAATCAACACTTCTGGGAATTTTTCTGCTAAATTCTTCAAAAAGGATGGTCCCAGCTTCCCCTACTATGACAGCCATATCAAATGAACCTGGATGCTCTAAAGGAAATACAGCAAACAGCACATAGTGTCAATGACTGCGCTTGTCCACTCAACAAATATTTATGCCAAAGATCAAAAGTGGCCGCTCATGGATCTCTAAAGCCATCTCTCAGATGTGTATTGTTTGGCCCAGATAGGATTCTTAAATGTTTACAATATTTGCCAGTACTTTAAAATGCGGGGTCATATATAAAAATTCAGATTTCCACTCTCTCTTGGGAAATCAGCAGCTCTAGCAACGCTAGACTTGCATCCTATTCATGCAATTTCCAAGTGGAGCTAAGTAGCACCTTGAGAAAGGCCACCCACTATCCAGTCCTCCATGGTCCTCACTCAACCCTCTTCTTTGTTATTTGAGTTTGTAACCACCGATTAATGGCTGGAGATGCTCTCTAGAGACGCTACATCTGGCCCTTCAAATTAATAACCCTCTGCCAGGAAATCTCTTGGTTAAGAGCAAATAGTAATTCATATCTTTAGATCAAACACTCATCTGGGAAAAGGCAATAAACAGGAAAGTTAGAGGTTTTCTTGAACTTTTATGAGAAAGTCATATGACTACCACTGCTCCCACTGGACTAAAAGGGGGAAGTGAGCCTAAACATATTAATATTTATATAGTTCAGCCTCTAACGCTTAAATATATAATGGAGGAAAATAAAGGAATGTTTATAATTGACTTCCTACCAATGAGACCAAGAGGAACTCAACAGCAGCTGTTGAGAACTAAAGGTGCCAGGACCATCAATGAGATTAGCAACAATGTGTCATGCATCAGATGTCGCTGGGGGGAAATAACTTTAACAGAAACCCCCGAGAGTCATGAAAAGTTCCTTAAAGTCCTGGAAAAATGCAACTGGCTCCTCTTTACCACCAGAACCAGAAAAATGTAATACAATAAAATGTAATAGCTTTCAGAAACTTTCCAATTTTAACATATGTGAAAGCTAAAAATAAGTTTTGAACAAATGTTCACAAAATGAAATTCATTAAATCGTGGTTAGGATCTTGAAATAATTTTAGTACGATATTTTGCCATAAACATAACAGTTATGCCATAAACATAACTTCACATTAGGAGTTCTGATTGTTGGGTGCCTGTAATGCCAGCTACTGGGGAGGCTGAGGCACGAGAATCACTTGAACCCGGAAGGTGGAGGTTGCAGTGAGCCGAGATCGCACCACTGCGCTCCAGCCTGGGCGACAGAGCAAGACTCCGTCTCAAAAAAAAAAAACCTATTTTTCAAAGTAACTGATGAAATCTAAGACAATGAACTATTATTTTCTTCAATTCAACTACAAGCCTTTTGTGAAAACTGTTGAACTAAGTCTTTCAATTACAGACAGAAGAATTGTGAAATAAAAAAAATTAAAGCCATATTTATAGGATGTTTTTCTCATCTGACTACGATTAATTTCCCAGTTACCAAAAGAAAGCCACATGGTGCAACCTGAGACTTTATTTATATTTAGACAACACTATTTTTCCAAAGAACCTAAAGTACTGTGCAAACAGTAAATAACCATTTTTAAAACAGCATTTTGGAAGCTTTTGATATGGCGGGGAGAAAACTCATTACAAATTAAAGGGGGAAAACTCTGTTTTCAAAGACACAATCACTGCATAGTCAAGTTCTCCTCTCCCTGTTCCATAAGGACCATATCTGTTTTTAAGGAAGTAAAGTTTACTGTTTGGTAATTAGATTTAGAAGACTCTGGAAAAAAAATATTAAAAACAAAAGTGAAAAAAACATTTAAAAAATGATATTAGAAACCTGTTCTACTACACTGCCTCCAATAAGTGTGTTTAAAAACCGCAAAAAAAGGGCTTCTTTCCATTCAATATCCAAATGTAGAATCCTTCTTTGCAGACAATCTGACGATGTCTAGTAACTTTTCCCTAAGCCCCGCTCGGAAATTGCCTCCCAGACCGGAGACCTGCAGGTGCTGCTGCGAAGATGACGCGACCAGCCAAACCGGTTAAGGATTTGACTGCGATTGAGAACTAGTGAGGACCTCTAGGAACCCAACCTTCTGCGTTCATACACGCGCTCGCGCGCACACGCACGCACACACACACACACACACACACACACACGGCAAGCAAGCCATCTCCGGTCACACCCCAGACACCGCCGTCCTCCCGGGACGGGCGCTCCTCCACGCGTGCTCCTTGGACGCGCCAGCTCCCCCTCCATCCCGGGACCGTTGTCCTTTTCCCTCCGGGTCCCTGCTGTAGCCGGCCGGCCGCTCCCGCCGCTCGCCCAGCCCCCGAACGCCTTCTCTCCCACTCCCAAGGTCCAGGGAAGGGGCCAGCCGGCGCTTGAGCGCGCCACGTGGAGCGCGCGCGCCTGCAGCCAAACCTCAGTCGGTCCTTAAAGTGGGGTCCCCGCCCCTCCCGCCCTGCTCCCCGATCCCCCAAGGCCGAGCCCGCCCCCGCGCCTCCGAGCCCCTGTCTTGCCTGGCTGGGGTCTGTGGCGCGGAAAACGTGGCAGGCCATCTGCGACTCGGGGTCGTCGGGCTGCGCCTTGATCAGGTAGGCAAAGTAGGTGAGGTCGTGGCTGTTGTGGATGAAGCGCGAGATATGCTGCGCCTTGTGCTCGAAGATGAATACCGCCGGGTTGGGCTGCGTGGCCGACGGACTAGTGCCCCCCGAGGCCCCAGCGCCCGGCGCGGGGACGCAACGCAGGAAGGGCGCGCTGAGCACCAGGATCACCTCTCGGGCCGCCGGCGCCCCGCAGCCGCCCGCCTCGGGCTTCTGGCTGCGCCTGCGGATCTCGGCCATGAGCCAGGGCAGCATAGGCAGCGTGGTCCTGTGGTCCAGGCACGACCCCCCAACGTACCACAGCCGGAACCGCTTATCGCTTGGCTTCCCGGGGCCGGGCTGAGCTGAGACGCCCGGCTCGGGCTCCAGGGGGTGCGGGAACGGCTCATCCTGAATGCAGCTGGGCGGCTCCATAACTCTCGCCTCACCAGGGCACCGCGGAGGCCGGCCGGGCGCACCGCGCCCCCCACTCCCGCGCAGAAGGCGCCGCCGAAACTGTGCCAACTGCCGCACCGGGCTCCCGCGCCTGCCTGGGAGCGGCGCGACCCCGAACTCCGCGCTTCAGCAGCCCTGCCCCATGCAGCACTTCCACGGGCGCGGCTCGGAGGCTCCGGCGGCGGGCACCGAGGCAAGCGCCCGGCAGGCGAGGGCGGGTTAAATGGGCATCCTCCTCCTTGGGCTGGCGCCTCGGGCAGGACCTCCCCTTCCTCCGTCGCGGGTTTGCAGGGTCAGAGGACCACGCCGAGGGTCCCCGCGGCCGCCGGCTCCAGCGCTGCAGCCCCGCTGCGGCCGCCGCGCTCGCCTGGGGCAGACACTGGGTGGCTGGGCGGGGAATGGGGCTGTGGGCGGGAGGGGGTGACTTGGGGCGGAGCTGACTCCTACCAGGGTGACCGGCTGTCACCTGGAAGGTCGGGGCTGCAGGGCTGCGGCGCGGTCAGTCCTCAGGAAAGGCTCCGGCAACTACTCCAGTGGAAAATAACAAAAACAAAACGTGGCCTCGCGGGGGCCGCTCCTCCTCCCGCCGCAGCTGCAGCCCAGCTCGCTGCTCCTCCTCCTGCCGTTCCCGTCCCTCCCTCGCTCCTTCCTTCCTTCCTTCCAGGCTGCTTCTTTAATCGGGCTGCTACTCCGCCTCCCGTCCGGCGGGCGGAGAGCGTCGCCTGCAAAAGCTTATCCGTGAAGCCGCCTCTCCGCCTCTTCGCCTCTTCCTTCGACCCCCGCCCTTGGGGCTGCAGCTCAGAGCCTGGCGCGGGCACTGCCCGGACCCACTTGGCCTCTCTTGAGTCGCCGCGATCTCCGTCTCCTCCCGGGCGTCTCTGCTGCCCCCTAGAGAGGGGGCCACTCGCAGTGGAGAACTGGGATTTTTTTTTAACAGTATTTGCTTGGTTTCAGTTCCTTCTAAAGCCTACACATTAATTTCTGAATTATCTTTCCTAATAATCTCAAAAAACGCTCGTGTTTTCAATCACAATATTATAAATTCCAGTTCCAAATTTCACTTTAAAACATAATATCGACAGCTTGAATCTTCCTAGTTATTAAAGCAGCCAACTTCTTAAAATATGGAAAAGTTATGTTTTATTTATGTTATATCCCCAGTTGAGAGCTAATGTAGAGATTTCTTGTTCTTTTATATATATGTGGTAATACATATTTCCAAAGAACTAAAAAAAAGTTTGGAATAATTTGATCATTGTAATTTTAAGACAGGTAGACAAGTATTCTCCCTTTTTACTCATACCGAATGATAATTAAGAATTGGGTAAGAAGTAAAGACAAAATAAATAAGAAAGACACAGAAGTTCCTGACTTTCTCCTAAGTGCTTACAAGAAGAATGAAAACTCGGGTTTCTTGGTTTTTAGTTTAATGAGTTCTCACTTTTTATAAAGCCCTGGGACCACTTTTTCCCTTCTATTTATTTAAGATCAATATAACCAACTGCCATTGTTCTTATGCTGAATTTCTGGTTGCACTCTGATGGCTCTCTTATTAATAGGTATCTAAGTTCCAAGATGGAGACATTACTAATTGATTAGGTTAAGTCATTTGGTTGAACCACTTAAAAAACCTTTGTTCAAAAAGACCCATGTCTTCAAAGAAGCAATGAAAAGTTCTTGGAAGGTAGACTGAGACCTTCTAGAACCTTCCCAGAAACTCTGTTACACAGATCCCATTTCCTTAGGCTACATATCTGAGACATAAAAGAAAGGAACAAAGATATGGAGAAAGCATGGAAGTCTTGTAGACTCTACGAAATCAACCAGCTTGGGAGCTAGGATTGAATTAATAGCTCCAGCAGGCCAGTTACTACTGGCATAATAAAGTGAAGTAACAAAGAACACCCTTTCACTGATTGACAGAAAAACAGAATTGTCTTTTATTACATGACATGCTAAGTATGATTGCTTTCTGCTTGAGAATGCCCCTCATTCTTTCTATTGTTATTTTTTTTGTTTTTGTTTTTGTTTTTGTTTTTGTTTTCTGAGACGGAGTCTCGTTCTGTCGCCCAGGCTGGAGTGCAGTGGTGCGATCTCGGTTCACTGAAACCTCCACCTCCGTGGTTCAAGCAATTCCCCTGCCTCAGCCTCCCAAGTAGCTGGGATTACAGGTGCACACCACCATGCTTGGCAAATTTTTTTGTATTTTTAGTAGAGACGGGGTGATCTCAGGCAGTCCGCCCAGCTCAGCCTCCCAAAATGCTGGGATTACAGGCATGAGCCACTGCACCCAGCCCTGTTAGGTTTATCTTACTGAATGCTACTGAGCATTTTTACTGTCTGATCCTCTCTGAATCCTCACACATGGGCAGATAGTCCTTTCCTGCCCTCCTTGAAGTTAGCCACAATCATATGACTTGTTTTGACAGTGAAATGTGAACAGAAGTGACTTGGGTAGAAGCATTTAATTGCCAGTAGTCGAGGCTCCTGCCCACTCTTCTCTCCAGTGGCCATCATGGAGACATGTCCAGGTAGAGGCGCCTTGTAACCAAAGCAGCCCCTTGTAACCAAAGCAGCCCCAAAGGCTGAGCCAACACACATCAGACATCTGTCCTGGAGAATCTCCCAGGCCTACAGCAGACTCCTCAGGAGTAAGAAATAAACTTTTGTTCCACTAAGCCACTGAGATTGTAGATTGTTTTCTACTGTGTTATTAATCTCTCTTATCCTGCAAATAAAATTGTTATACTCTAGCATTAATATGTTTTATACAAATTGTTTTATAATCATTCATACATCTATTTTACTTAGTACACACATGAACTAGATGGTAAGCTATTAGTTTCTTACCACCATTGTATCACTTGCAGAGCTTTACAAAATTACATGCGCATGAAAAGTTCCCAGTTATATATTTGATCACTTAAATTTAGAAAACAGTAAGAGGGCCAGGGTTGGTGGCTCCACATCTGTAATTACAGCACTTTGGGAGGCCTAGGCAGGCAGATCACTTGAAGTCAGTAGTTAGAGACCAGCCTGGCCAACATGGTGAAATCCCATCTCTACTAAAAATACAAAAAAGTAGCCAGGCGTGGTGGCGGGTGCCTGTAGTTCCAGCTACTCAGGAGGTCCAGGCAGGAGAATCACTTAAACCCAGGAGGCGGAGGTTGCAGTGAGCCAAGATAGCGTCACTGTACTCCAGCCTGGGAAACAGAGCCAGATTCCATCGAGAGGGGGAGAGAGAGAGAGAGATAGACTTCCTAAAGCGCAACGCTCTACTCTTTCTGCCTATTTTATTTTTGCTCCTCATTCCCCTACTCTCACTTCCACACAGTCTCCCTGTTCCCTTAGTACATGTTCATGTTTTTATGGGGCTTCACCAGCTCCTTCCTCTCCCCAACTGCCTTTTCTTCCCACTGCCCCACAACTTGCATTTCCTCATCCTTCACTATTTCAAGACCCATTCTTCAAGACCCAACTCAAGAGTCATCTCTTCTGTGAAGATCTTTCTTTCTTTGCCAGCCAGAGCTAATGGCCTTCTCTCCTTTGCCCCCTTTTCTATGCATTTCACTATTATAACTCTTATCATTCTTTAGAATTTTGGGGTGATTTGTCTGCATTCCCACCACAACAAAAGCATCTTGAGAGAAGGGATTATTTTTCCCCCACATGTGAGTCAGTAGTTCCTCTGAAGGGATTATTTGTTTGTCTCATACTTTCCTCCAGTAAAAACCACAGTAGCTGACACTAGGTAGGTGATAAATACTGAATGAATGAGTGGAGTTGAATAAATAGCAGATTAGAATTTAAGAAGCTAAAGAGGGATGTTTTGATATCATAGAGGAGATATGCCAAATGATTTAATTAGCTAATTTCAGGTTAACCTACTAAATATATCCATCAACTAATTATAAAGTACTAAAAAATAATAGAACGCCTCCCAAAAATTGTAGTGGAGTTCTAGCTGGGGATGACACACAGAACCCAAGCATTTGTGATTAACAGAATGTCAAGATATTCACAGGGTTTTTCCTCATTGTTCCCTGTGACCTTCCTTCAGCCCAGGCAGCCAGGGCATTCCATCTTCCCACTTCAGGGAAAGGATGACACAGCATAACACAGAGAACAAAAGAGTTCATTCTTAGCTTTCAGGTGAAAAAAACCCAAGGACCTGGCAAGGCAGGCAAAAGATTTAAAATATATTATATGCTCCAAGAGTCAGTTTCTCTTGCTCTAGACACTAAAGAAAATTTCCCCAAACTTGGGAGATAGAGGAGAAGAATGGGAATAAGAGGGTTTAGGTCTTGTGGATCTCCAGGGAGGGGACCTAGGCTCTGTCTCTTCTGGTTAAGTCAGTGGAGGGGGGCATAGTTCTCCAGAGCAGAAGCTGTGCTGCTCTTTCCCAAGGGTAGCCCAGGAAACCTGCAAGACCTCGGTGTTTCTCCCATGCCCATCATAGAGAGGAAGCAGAAGAAGGGGAGAGGGCATCTAGGCAGCAGACCTTAAACAGCCTCTGGAAATGCCCTGCATGCAAAGGGAGCACTGGATATATCCTCATGTAGCCAAGGAAAAGCACAGAGACAAACCAGAGTCAGTGAACTGAAAAGCCCTTGTGGTCAGGACAAGGAGGACAAGGCAGTGACCATGTTCGCTGATGCACTGGCTACACCTACCAGGACATACAGCAAAGGCTCAGACTGACAGCCCTACAGGAGGTCTGGAAATCATCTCATCCAGCCTACTAGCCTAAAGCTAGAAGACAGAAACCTCCAAAAGGAAATTCTACCCACCCCCCACCCCACCAAAAAAAAAAGGTGGTTTTGGGCAGAGACAAAAGATGGCATAGAATACAGAGTATAATTAAATTCCTAGCTACTATGAATGATTGGTTTGATTCAGAAGGGCTTTGCATCAGCCCACAGACCAAATACAGGAAAATACTAGATACATTTTTTAAAAGAACTTAAGCAACTATGAAAACTAGAAGGAAACATTTCTAGATGCCAGAAATGAAGAGTTAGGCAAAAACCACAATGGTCAGTGGCAGCGGAAGCCAACAGCTTCTGAGGCTATCAGATCTAGAAATACGGGTGGGTAGCTGGGACCATATTTTCACAGTCATGCAAGATTATAGATGAGTCTAATAGAAGTTAGGACCTGGAACTGAGCTCCCTGATTAGAGACAAAAGCTGCTGACTGGCAAGCTGTCTCATCTATAAAACAGAGTGGAAAACGTTCATCAGCCATTATGGGAAAGCAGTGAAGAGTCTGGCAGAGCCCAAATTAACTTTATGTGCATCATGGGAGAAACTGAAGTTAAGAAAATAATAAAAACAGCTTTGAACTAGTGAAAATGGAAAATCTCCCTGGGGATCATGAACCAGTCTCCAGAGGACCCAGTCCTTCTTCATATCTGAGTTATGTGTTCCTCTCTGTTGGCCCCATTTTTAGTTAATAAAATAGGCTGGACTAGAAAGGTTGATCTCGGTTCAAATATTGGCAAGGATGTTAACTGGGAATTTATTGACATTGTTTTCCCTTTGACCACTAAGCCAGCAAAGAAACCCTGCAAGGTCAGTATTACACACATCAGTGTCTCTCAAATTGGATGTTCTTAGTAGCCTGTCTGTAGTGAGGAATCAGACAGGTCAGAGATTCTCGGAATCTTAAGGGACCATTCTATTACCATTAGAAGAAATTCTTACTGCTCCACAATTAGAGACAAGCACATTCTAATTTTTATGTGTGTCTTAAAAGGTATCCATCAGGATTGGCCATAAACCTACCACAATCAGGCTCTTTCCTCTCTCCTTGAGGTTGCAAAAGCTTATACAAGCTCCAAATTAATGTTCTTACAGCTCCACTCACAGCAGAAAAGTGAACACTTCCATCCTGATTGCCCAGGAAAAAGTTTCACTTTAGTTTTGAATGGGTTTGGTTGGCTCAGCTTAATTAAATGTCCTTTCCTGGAGAAATCATGGTACCAAGAATATTCACTATTCTGGTTGGCCAAGCCTGGGTCTTATGGCCACCTATGGAGATAGCTTCAGGGTAAGTTCTAACTATGTTCAATAAAAAGAAAATTCCTTATGTGTTTTATATTATTCAGTAGAGCAAAACATGCTGATTCTGTAGAAGTAGAGAGTAGAGGCCAGGCATGGTGGCTCACGCCTGTTATCCTAGCACTTTGGGAGGCCAAAGCGGGCAGATCACTTGAGGTCAGGAGTTCGAGACCAGCCTGGCCAATGTGGCAAAACCCTGTCTCTACTAAAAATGCAAAAATTAGCCTGGCATGGTGGCATGCACCTGTAATCCCTGCTGCTCAGGAGGCTGAAGCAGGAGAATTGCTTGAGCCTGGGAGGTGGAGGTTGCAGTGAGCTGAGATCACACCACTGTACTCCAGCCTGGGCAAAATAGTAAGACTCCATCTCAAAAAAAAAAAATGTACAGAGTAGAAAGGTGGTTACCAGGGGCTGGAGAAGCGGGGTTTGGGGGTGATACTGGTCAAAAGTAACAAAGTTTTAGTGAGATAGGAGAAATAAATTCAAGAAATCTATTGTACAATATATTGATTATAGTTATAATGATATATTGTAGTCTTGAAAAATGCTAAGAGTAGATTTTAAGTGTTCTCACCACAAAATAGTAACTGTATGAGGTAATGTGTATATGAATTAGCTCAATTTAGCCATTCCACAATGTATATATATTTCGAAACGCCATGTTCAACATGATAAATATATTACAGTTTTATCTGTCATTTTTTTAAAAAAAGAAGAAAGACTGCTTGTGCTTGCTACATAAAAGAAGAAGAAAAGAAAGGAAATAATAAAGAGAACTCCAAAAATCAGGAAAATCGAGAATTGGGAAAACAGTAGGAAAAAACAGCAAATCATCAATATCTTTTCATGTTTATTGATCATCTAGATTTCTTCTTGAAGGATTTGATGCTCCTATCTTTTGCCTGCTTTTAAAACTGGGGTCAAATGATAGAATCTCCCTATATTAGGGATAGCAGCATTTTATCCAACATATGTTTCATATATTTTTCTGAGTTTATCATTATTTTTTGTGGACACAAAAAAGAAAGAATACAGATTTTTTTTCTCCAAGCACTCATGAAATATTCAGAAAAATTAACCACATCTTGTCTTTTGACATGTTTAAGATGTCTTAAGGCCAGGCGTGGTGGCTCATGCATGTAATCCCAGCACTTTGGGAGGCCAAGGCAGGTGGATCACGAGGTCAGAAGATCGAGACCATCCTAGCTAACATGGTGAAACCCCATCTCTACTGAAAAAAAAAAAATACAAAACATACAAAAAATTAGCTGGGCGTGGTGGCGTGCACCTGTAGTCCCAGCTACTTGGGAGGCTGAGGCAGGAGAATCGCTTGAACCTGGGAGGCAGAGGTTGCAGTGAGCCAAGATTGCGCCACTGCACTCCAGCCTGGGCAACAGGGCAAGACTCTGTCTCAAAAAAAAAAAAACACAAAGATGTCTTGACAAAAAAGTTAGGTAATTATTCATTTAATTCAGCCTACACCCCCAAATGGGTACTACTTACTAATGTTCCTGACAGACAAATGAATGGCAAGAAATCTGAAAATGCCATTGTTTTTACATGAGGAAATTGAAGTACAAAATAAGTGGATAAAGAAAGTAACATTGGTCAGGGGTAGGGGCTCACGCCTGTATTCCCAGCACGTTGGGAGGCCGAGATGGGTAGCTGGCTTGAGCTCAGGAGTTACAGACCAGCCTGGGCAACGTGGCGAAACCCTGTCTCTACTAAAAAATACACAAATTAGCTGGGCGTGGTGGCGTGTGCCTGCAGTCCCAGCTACTTGAGAGACTGAGGTGGGAGGATGGCTTGAGTCCAGGAGGCGGAGGTTGCAGTGAGCCGAGATCATGCCACCGCACTCCAGACTGGGTGACAGAGCCAGATCATCTCAAAAGAGAAAAAAAAAAAAGGAACATTGCAGAGAATGAATGGAATACAGGACTGATTGCTAATCAAATATACAATGCTTGGCACAGAGACAGTGATTAATAAGTGCCTGGTCAATGAATTCATTTAGAGCTCTCTTGAACGTCAAATAACAGATCAGTTAGTTTCAGAAGTTAAACATTTCTACAGAGGAAGTGATTATTTTTTCCCACTATAGGCTGGTGTGATTTTACCAATACCCATTTTTATCTTACTGCATAATTCAGAAGTCTGTGTGGTTAACATTTAAGTTCTTGAGCAGTCTGAAAACTCTATTGTCACAAAACCTATTTGAGGTGTAAAGGGAAACAGAAAGTTAAAACAAACATTTATTTATTGCATGCTTTCAGGCTAGAGTTCCACGCCAGCCAAGCCTGTGAGATAAACCACAAGTTGTGAAATACTGTTTATTTGTATGAGGGTACTAATGTGGAGTGACTAAACATTTCCCTCACTATACACTTTACCATTGAGTGAAACCTCACATTTATGCTGTTCAGAATTATGTGGACTTATATTGATATTATTGACTGTTTTCTCTTTAGCCTAATAAAAACCTTTATAACTAAAAGCAGGATTAATGCCACAGTAAAATCTTCCCCCCATAAGAATACTTCTTGTTTAATTGCTATTTCTAATGGGCTCTAAAAAAAAACATAAAAATAAATCTATCTTAAATTTGTCATGGATGAATTATTCCAAGTCTTTATTGCTGTTTTTAAAATATGTCATTCAAGCTATTAATAATAGAAATTAAAATGAACATGCATAGATGTAGTACTTTTTTAATCAGGCATTGTTTCTTTTTCTTTCTTTCTTTCTTTTTTCTCTGAGACAGGGTCTCCCTCTGTTGCCCAGGCTGGAGCGCAGTGGCACGATCTTGGCTCAGTGCAATCTCTGCCTCCCAGGTTCAAAGGATTCTCCTGCCTCAGGCTCCCGAGTCGCTGGGATTACAGGCACCCACCACCACACCCCGCTAATTGTTGTACTTTTAGTAGAGATGGGGTTTCGCCATGTCGGCCAGGCTGGTCTCAAACTCCTGACCTCAAGTGATCCACCCACCTCAACCTCCCAAAGCGCTGGGGTTACAGGCATGAGCCACCATACCCAGCTCAGTCATTGTTTTCAGTAGGTAATATATGCAGATTGTATACTATTCAGAAGTTACAAAAAATATGTATAGCAAAAAATGTAAGTCTCCTTTCCACTTCTTTCCCCAGCTACCCATTTTTTTAGAAGCAGTTTATGTTACAAGTTTGTTCTGTTTGGATGCAAGCATGAAAAAATAGTAATAATCACCATTTAAGTTTTTTTTACTCTGTACCAAACATTCTGACAATAATCGTGTAAGTACTACTATTATCCTTATTTTACAGATGAGAAGACTGAGTCATACAGACATTAAGAATCTTTTTTAGGAATTACATTTCGTAGACGGGTCGATTTTGCTTCAAATAAGAGCCACTATTCGTGTGTATACAGGTTGTACTCTAATAGGTACAATACTAAAGAGGATAGTTAAGAAGAGACTAGCTGAACTAGAGTACTCATTACTAAGGTAATACAGATTAGATAAAACTAAGCAATGACACCTTTAAAAGGTCTCTAGGAATGAAGAATCACCGTATTTATTTATTTATTTATTTACTTATTAAGTAATATTTATTGAATACCTACTATGGTCCAGGGACTGGAAACATCCTTGCCATTCTCATGGAACTTGTCCAGTAAGAGACACAGACAAGTGAAAGGCAGCTACAACATTATACAGTGTATAGAACTGGGATGGCGCCATAACAACATTCTACAATATGTGACATTGATTCCAAGATTATGTGGCAGATGGAAAGGAAACTGTTAGTGGAGGCTGGAAAAAAGAGCAAGAAAACTATTGCAGGAAACTGGAAAAAGTCATGAAGACACTGCTATAGAAGCAGAAAAACCCCATGTCATGGAGTGGTATAAGAATCACCTGCAGGAACTGGAAAAATAGTTCACTCAATAACTTGATGGACTTTTGGATTTGAGTGAGAGTGTTTCCAAGCAGAAGATTGAGAGTGTCAGCTGGTTTATACTGGCTGTGTATAGTAAGGCACTTTAAGAAAGAGATGGACTCGTTAAACACCTGGCCAATTTGCTAGCTGAATTTAGAGAATTATAAAGGTTTAAAATTTGTCCGTCTGGAAAATAAACTATCTCTTATTCTCAACTTCTCAAGCAAATAAAAGATACTCAAAATTTAAAAAATAGCTTAAGGATAAAGATCAAATCAAAGTATGGCTGTAAGACACATTTTAAAGTTTCTAGAGAATTAAGTTGGTGCTTCCATTGCTGAACCAAATGACTTCCTGAAAGCTTAAAGATGTAGTCGCATGGAAGCCTAATCTCAAACTTGCAGTAAGTAAACCTAAAGAAGAAAAGCCTGTCTTGAAACTAATGGTGGGTTTGGCTTCTGGAGCATGGAGTGAACTCTAGTCTGATATACAGAAAGCCCCCCAGATTCTTAAAGGAATTGAGTCAGCAAAAGTATGGCCACCCGGGACTAACAAAGACCATGAATATTCAGATTGTAAAGAGATTTCTGGGCCAGAGAAGGTGACTCACACTTGTAATTCTAGCACTTTGGGAGGCCAAGGTGGGAGGATCGCTTGAGGCCAGGAGTATGAGACCAGCCTGAGCAACATAGCGAGACTGCTATCTGTACAAAAATAAACATTCAGGTGTAGTGGCACCCGCCTGCAGTACTACCTACTTTGGAGGCTGAGACAAGAGGACTGCTGGAGCCCAGAAGTTTGAGGCTGTGGTGAGTCACGATCATGTGACTGCACTCAGCTTGCGCAACAGAGCAAGATGCTGTCTCTGAAAACTTTTTTACAAAAGACATTTCTGAGCTCCTAACTTTATACAGACAGGGAGCAGTCTGAGAAAGTTGCTTAAAAGGCATAGAAGAATTAGGCATTGCATTGGAATTTTTAGTATCTGTGGAAAATCAGAGCAAAGAAATCAGAGGAGTTGAACATATAGTTCTGAAATTTAGAAGATAGATCTGGGCTAGAGATACAAATTGAGAGCTATTAACATATAGTAAAAATACAAAATTAAAATTCCAAACTTTCAGCCTTGGTTGAAATGTAGGTGAAATCTTGGGACCCCCCCTCTCCCATATCATGGTGTTATTTAATGAGAATCCTTAATAGAAGCAGAAAATTGTTGGCACAAGTGCTTTTGAGAATGCAAAGCACTGGGCTAGTTTTCAAAATTGTTATATCAGTCAGGTTCTCAGAAGGAAAAAATTTACCCTAAGTGAGTTAAAATTAAAACTTTAATGAAATAACTCTTAACAAAGGTATGGGCAGAACTGATGAGACAAACAGGGAATATTGAGGTGCTGGGAGACTTACAACAGTGGGAAACCACTGGCCCTAGGACTAAAAAGCCAAGAGTAGGAAACCTTGTTGGAACCCAGTGGGAGTCACTGCCCCACAGAACCTGTAGTTGGGAAAGGTCACAGCTAATGCCAGTGATACAGCACTGAACAGGAAGGGGACAGAGGAGGCATGCCCTGACCTATGCTCTTGTTTTCCATCTCCTCCTGGTATCCCTCCAGCATACAGTCCTCAGAGGACACTGTCCCAGGGCATAAGGCAAGGGAGAAAAGGGCAGAGAAGCTATCTGGATGAGCAAATGGAGAATAATTAGTATAGGTTTTAAGGTAAAGGGGATTTAGTAGTATTTGCAAATCAGATACCATAAATGCATAAATAATACTTAGTACTAACTAGATGGGGAGAAGGCTATGTTCAATTTATATATACCAGTTCTGTGTCTTATTAATTTAAATATGAAATACTGGGCAAGGTGCAGTGGCTCATCCCTGTAATCCCATCACTTTGGGAGGCCGAGGCGGGTGGATCACTTGAGGTCAGGAGTTCGAGACCAGCCTGGCCAACATGGCTAAACCCCATCTCTTCTAAAAATACAAAAATTAGCCAGGTGTGGTGGTGGGCACCTGTAATCCCAGCTACTCGGGAGGCTGAGGCACGAGAATCGAGAGATAATGTAAAGTTTGTTTTTCATGTTTGTTATGATTATGTATTTATGCAGGATGTCAATGTTACAAAAAATTGTATCTGTTAGAATCTTTGCTGTAGGAATGGACTTTACCCATCTAAATTGTAATGTATATCCAGCATTGTGATGACAAAGACACTAACTATAAACTTAGTAACTTTGTTCCTTCACTCCACTAATATTTAATTGGTATGAAATAGATTATTAATCAGAGTTCATAGTATATTTTGCTTTGGCTTTGTCCCTGTAGACCTATTTAAACAAGACAATCTTTGCAATTCCAACAACTTCATTTCTAAATACAATACCAAGCATGTCCCTTATATGATAATTACAGTGTTAGGAACTGATGGCATCAACCAGAAAGAGTGCTAACAACGAAGGAAAGAGTGTGTAGGAAACCCCAAGGAACACCAATACTTAGAGAAACACAGACAAAAATGCAGCTTGCCAAAACAACTGAGCTAGATGAACCAGAAACATAGGAGTAATGTGACATCATAAAAACCAAGTGAAAAAAAGAAGTGGTCCACATTTTAAAATGCTGCATCCAGATCAAGATCAAGTAAGATGAAGACCAAAATGGTTCCATTCAATTTAGTCACACGTAGGTTGTTGGTGACCGCAGTGAAAGCAAATTCAGTGAGAACAATGGGAGCAAAAGATAGACTACTGTGGGCTGTAAAATGACTGAGAGATGGTGACATGAAAATACTAAGCATACATAAAGTTTTAGAGATGCTTGGCTTTAAAGAAAAGAAGAAAGATAAGCCAACAGCTGAAGAAGGGTTAAGGGTGGAAGGTGGAATTTTTTTTGTGTTTTGGTTTTGTTGGTTTTTAACTGAGAGATAGCATCAGGCATGATTAAGTGCTAAGGAACCAGTGAAGGGAGATGAGCTGAATCTACAAAAGAGAAAGGGATTAGTCACTCAGTGGAGCATGGTCCCTATGAAAAGGAGATGCTTAATAAGTAATATTAAATAAATGAGTGGATTTCTTGAGAAGGCAAGACGGCATTCACTCCAGAAACCAGGTAAAGGAATTATCTATGGACCAGAGGCAGGGTATCTCTTCCATCAGAAAGTCAAAAAGGAGGAAATCAGTAAGGATACAGGTAATTTGGTTAAGTGTGGTGCCCAGAACTTGAGAAAGTTTCATGGGATGCCTTCTGTTTTCCTTGTGAAATGAAAAATGAAGCCATCTGAGGGAAATAAAGGAGGGATGGTAGATTGAGAGGACTGAGAAGAATGAAAAAGGCTTACGAAATAATCTCGTGTCCTTAAAGGATGCTTCAGAGAAGAGCTCTTTGAAGCAGCTGCCAGCCTCCACAGAATGTACAGTGGCAGGTAAAGGGGTTGCCCAGGGATGGTTCCTATGCTGGGCCTCAGAGCTGAATCAGATTAACTCATGATCACCTAGCATCTTTTCCTGTCCCTGTAGGGCACAAACTTCAATACTTGTTCTCTCCTTTGTTTTCTTCACATTGCTCCACAAGATGGGGTATATACTGATAGCTCCCTGGGAGTCCATGACCTCGGACAATTCTGCCTCCTTACCTGGACAATGTTTCATCACTCCACCTTGAAAACATTTCTTGTAACTCATTACAATTCTGAGATCTTCCTTACTATGTACATACCCTACCATCAAGGCACTCACCAACCTTTAAAGGAGCAAACTGAAAATAAGTTGTAAGAGGTGAGGCGCTGTGGATTCAATGTTAGTGTCTCTCCCAAATTCATGAGTTAAAGTCCTAATCCCCAGTGTGAGTATATTTGGAGGCAGGTCTTGAGGAGGTAACTAAATCATGATGGGGGGGACCTTGTGGTGGGATTAGTGCCCTTACAAGAAGAGACACGGTAGAGCTTGCTTCCTCTCTCTTTCTTGGCCATTTGAGGATGCCGGGAGAAGACAGCTGTCTTCAAGCCAGGAAGCAAACCCACACCAGACACTAGATCTCTTGGCACTTTGATCTTGGATTTCCAGCCACCAGAATTGTGAGAAATAAATTATTGTTTAAGTCATCCAGTGCATGGTATTTTTGTTATAGCAGCCCAGGCTAACTAAGGTATGGAGTAGGCCTACTTTATTTTCCACTCAGCCCCTTGTAGCACTCCAGTCATCTTTGGGGAGAGAAGCAAAGGCAATGGAAGTCTGCCCTTAACTTCCTGCTCTAGCCTCCCAAGGACTTAAATCCCTCCACTTTCCCGAGTGGCTGACAGAGGAAAGGAATGTCTTTCTGAGTAAATAGCCGGCAATGTTGAAATTGATGGAAACCACGAAATAAATGTTTCCGATAACCTAAAATGCCAAGTGGATTTCATAGCTCAGGAATGAAGCCAGAAGTACAGTGAGGTTTGATGTAAACACAAACAGAAAGTTTTTGAATGAAGCCTTTGGGAGGCGGAGTTCATTCCACTGCTGTACTACTATAATATGAAAGCATCTGATATTTGAAAGTAACAAGATTTTCCATGTAACCTCCTCTTTAATGTTCTGATATTGTTCTATATTTGTAAATGAAATAACTCTTCCATAGCTATTGTCTCTGTTTTAAATACTAACTTAGAAAGATTCAATTAAACAACCAGGAACATGCCTCCAATTCAAGGAGTAACACAGTTCTCACTTGGTTTTGCAGCACAAGGTAAAAGAAAATAGAAAATGGTTTTCCACCTCCAGGTACCAAGTTTAGAGAGTTTTAGGTGCCTCGAAGTCTCTGCTCTTTTGATTTAATATGCATGGCAAGCATTCATTTTAGCATTAGTAACTTCACTATTACCTATTTGAACCTAGAAGTTTTCCTTATATGTATACGTACTTTATTTATTAAAACACAAAGTTTGTGTAGGGAAAACTGAGAAAGGACATAAGGTTAAAAAATTTTAAGGAAGCATAAACTAGGCACACAAGAGCAAATAAAAACAACAAATAGGCCAGGCACAGTGGCTCACACCTGTAATCCTAGCACTTTGGGAGGGTGAGGCGAGAGGATCGCTGGAGCCCAGGTGTTCAAGACCAGTCTGGGCAACATGGCCAAACTTCGTCTCCACAAAAGATACAAGAAGTAGCCAGGTGTGGTGGTGGACGCCTGTAGTCCCAACTACTTGGGAGGCTGAGATGGAAGGATCACCTGAGCCCAGAAGGTCGAGGCTGCGGTGAGCCATGATGGCACCACTGCACTCCAGCCTGGGTGACAGAGTGAGACCCTGTCTCAAACAAACAAACAAACAAAAAAGGTCTCAATAAAAACAGAAAATTAACAGTGAGGCCTCATCTCTTAAAAAGCAAACAAAAGGGCCCGGTGCAGTGGCTCACGTCTAATCCCAGCACTTTGGGAGGCCGAGGCTGGTGGATCACCTGAGTTGGGAGTTCGAGACCACCCTGACCAACATGGAGGAACCCCGTCTCTACTAAAAAAATGCAGAATTAGCCAGGTGTGGTGGCACATGCCTGTAATCCCAGCTACTCGGGAGTCTGAGGCAGGAGAATCACTTGAACCCGGGAGGTGGAGGCTGTGGTGAGCCAGAGATCACGCCATTGTACTCCAGCCTGGGCAACAAGAGCGAAACTCCATCTCAAAACAAAAACAAAAACAAAAACAAAAAACAAAGAAATAGAAGATCAAAAGAAGGAGGAGAATATTAATGAAAAGAAATGAAGAAATGAAAAGGATTTGAGAGAAAGTGTCAGATACAGAGGATAATCAAAGAACCTACATATTTATACTAGAAGTGTACCCAAGGAAGAAAACCAAAGCAATGGAACAGAAGAAATGTTAGGAACCTATCATTCAAGAAAATCTTCCTAAAATAAAAAGATACTTGAAAAATAAATTTTGTGGCTGGGCACAGTGGCTTATCCTATAATCCCAGCACTTTGGTAGTCTGAGGCAGGAGGATCACTTGAGGATAGGAGTGCAAGACCAGCCTGGGCAGCACTGCGAGAACCCCCTCTCTACCAAAAAAAAAAAAATTAGCTGGGTGTGGTGGTGCCCATCTGTAGTACTAGCTACTCTGGAGGCTGAGGCAGGAAGATCCTTTGAGCCCTGGGCTTTGAGGTTACAGTGAGCTATGATCACACCACTGCACTCCAGCCTGGGCAATAGAACAAGACCCTGTCTCACTAAAAAAAGAAAAAAGAAAAGAAAATACATATTGCAAAGCACATCATGTACCTAGAGAAATTGACTCAAAATGGCCAACACTAAGATATAGTCTAGTAAAACCATTGAATTTTAAAGAAAGATTAGATTTTTTAATTTATATGCTTATTTTACATGCAGGGGGTACAGTACCCAATAGGAAGCTTTTCAGCCCTCGCTTACTCCCCTCCCTCCTTCTCTCCCTCCTTTTGGAATCCCCAGTGTCAATTGTTCCCATGAAAGAAAGATTTTAAAAGATTCTATTTATATCCAGACAAAGCCCAAATGACATATAAGGGAAATGATAAATTGTTATCAGATCTTTTTACAGTAACCTTTTATGCTTGAAGATAATAGAGCAACATATTTAGGACACTTAAGGAAAGAAAATCTGACCAAAGGGTTTTATGTCCATGCAAACCGTCAAGGATCATAGACAGTTATGAGCATTCATGAACTTAAGGAATAGTTTCCATGTCCCTTTCCGCAGTATCTTCTGGAGAATGAGCTTCTAGCAACCAAAATGAGTAGAGAAACATCAATATTGGGATGATAGTGAGCCAAAATATCTATTGACCTGTGGAACTCGGACTCTAAACAATAGATATAAAGGAGAGTATAATATGTAATTTGCCATATGCTCTGATAATGAAGGGAGTCCAACTTCCAAAATTAGGAGCTGGGGCACAGTGGCATGTGTCTGTAGTCCCAGCTGCAAGGGAGGCTGGTGCAGGAGGATCAGTTGAGCCCTGGAGTTTCACGCTGTAGTGTGCCAGGATGGCACCTGTGAATAGATACTATGGGACTATGTCTCTAAAAAACAAAGAAAAAGACAAAAATAAGAAGGAGTGGGAAATGGGGAAATGGGAAGGACATATCAAGGACATATAAAAAGTAGATGTCAGTCGCGGTGGCTCACGTCTGTAATCCCAACACTTTGGGAGTCCGAGAAGGGTGGATCATCTGAGGTCAGGGGTTCGAGACCAAAAATAGAGTTTTCTCTACTGAAAATACAAAAAATTAGCGGGCGTGGTGGCAGGCGCCTGTAACCCCAGCTACTCAGGAGGTTGAGGCAGGAGAATCACTTGAACCCAGGAAGCAGAGGTTGCAGTGAGCCGAGATCACGTCACTGCACTCCAGCCTGGGTGACAGAGCGAGACTCTGTCTCAAAAAAAAAAAATTAAATTAAAATAAAAAATAAAACAAGAGGAAAATAAGCTAGCTGACTGCCTTACAGTTATTACCTGGAAATACAAGGATATTACTTCAAATCAGATGCTTGGGGAGTAGAAGAACAGGAAGCAAGAAGAGGTTATTAGCAAACATCAATATTTCTCATAGTAGAGAACAAACAGAGAATTACTAAGGGTATTATATGAAGGTATTAGTATATAAGGAGCCATTCAAGCAGAAATACAAACTTTACCAATAAAAGAAAAGAAAGAGAACAAATGAAATAGACAAAGATTATTTCTATCAAAATCGTATGTATTAATTATAACATTAACATATGGCAGAATTAAGGTGAAGTATATAGACCATGGACATGATTCTTTATATTATTAAGGTACACTTAACAGTAATCAAGTTTGAAATGACTGAGATTTCCTAATAGATGAGACTTATAAAGATATGAACAAAGTACTTCACTCATTATATTGAGTAGAAGAGGGGTCCCAAATTCAAATGCCTATTGGAAAAAGACACTGAAAGAAGCTGGCTGCTCTAAGTGGGAAGGCATTTATTGTATGTATGTCTGTGTGTGCACACACGCATGCATGTGGATGGAATTCAAACCCCATCTTAAAGGAGCAGTTACTATTCAGCTGCAGCCAATTGTTGGAACTGGAGCATGTAGGCCCAGTATTTCCGGGTCTTTCAATTTTTTTTGAGGGAATCTCAAAGTAATAATCACAAAATTGTGGAGACCTAGCAAAATATTTTTTTGCTGACCACTAGCTGTGGGACCACTTAAACTGAGGTTGAAGGAAATCACTTATTTATTTATTAAGTGATATTGTTTGACCTTTTAACAATGCGCATAAAATGTGTAAGAAGATATTTTTAAAAGATGACCACTTTATTTTATTATTTTGCAGCTTTATTTATGTTTCACACATAGTCGAGCAAGAATTCCTGCCTTCAACTGTACACCATGGCTACGGGGCTTTTTTTTTCATGTATAGATTATGTATTATGTTCATCTTAACACATTCCTCTGTCCCACCTTTCACTCAATTTAAAAAAAAATGTAAGATTTTAGCCAAATTAGTATTTCCCAATGAGCTGACTGCAAAGCTACTTTTGGAAATTTGGTAGAATCAAATAAGCATCTTTCACTGCCAGCGTAATTATGGAGCAAGCTGCTAACCAGTTTATGTATCACTATTCAAAATAGAAAAAGTACATCGTCTGGCTCAAAATACACTTTAATTATGGCAATGTGTATGATTTAGCCCAGCTGCATGATAAAAATTGCTCTATGATAGATCTTCATTTCCCATATTGGAATATGAACAAATACATTTGTAAACTACAGAGGTTAATGTGTTTTAATTTTTCATAATACATGCTAAATTATTAGGATTTTAAAATATTTATTATGGAAATTTTTCACACACACACACAAAAGAATAGTATGACGAGCTCATTACCCAGCTCTAACGATTATTAATAAATGGCTAATCTTTCACCTACACCTCCAACCACGTTCACCTCTCCCCAATTATTTTTAAGCAAACTGTATTCCTCATATCCTTCATTTCAGCTGTAATGATTTTAAAACTATAATTGTCATTCCTAAAAATACAATTTAATATTGTTTTTCCTAAAAATACAACTTAATATCATAAATTTCCAGCTAGTGTTCACATTTCTCTAATTGCTGTACAATTTCTTTTACAGTATACTTGAGTCAGAATTTAAATTCCATGCATTGCAATAGGTGGATATATCTCTTAATTCTTTTTTTTTAAATTGCTGACTTTCCACTTTATTTTATTTTTATTTCTTTTTGAGACAGTGTCTCTACTCTGTTGCCCAGGCTGAAGTGCAGTGGCATGATCTCGGCTCACTGCAACCACCGCCTCCCACGTTCAAGCGATTCTTGTGACTCAGCCCACCGAGTAGTTGGGATTACAGACATGCGCCACCAAGCCCAGCAAATTTCTGTATTTTTAGTAGAGATGGGGTTTCGCCATATAAGCCAGGCTGATCTTGAACTCCTGACCTTATGTGATCCACCAGCCCCTGCCTCCCAAAGTGCTGGGATTACAAGCATGAGCCACCATGCCCAGCCCCTCTTAATTCTCTTTTAATCTATTGATTCCCCCGTCATATCTTTTGTTTTGCATTAAAAAGAATTTTAGAAACTGGCTTGTTTATCATATAGTGTTTCTTATGGTCAAGATTTTGGTAATTACCTCTTGGTGGTGTCATTTAATACATCCTTCTGTCCTTATATGTCCTGGAAAGTGCCTAAGCCCTGTCCAATAGAATGTTCTGCCATGATGGACTTGTTTTATACACTATCCAATACACTGTCTATGTGGCCATGGAAATGTTACCTGTGAAGCTGAGGAACTGAATTTTTAATTTTATTCCATTGTAATTCATTTATATACATTTAAATAGCCACAGATAACTAGTGGCTATAGCATTAGAAAGCAAAGAGCTAGAATCCTGATAGGATTGAAGGTAGAATTTTTTTTGGTTTTCATTTGTATTTGTTTTTTGTTTGATTTTGTTTTGGTTATTACAACAAAATCACTTAATAGGCAATGTTGTGTACTTTACAGAAGAAACATACTGTCTCTCTGTCTCTCAACATCGAAAATCATTTCCTTGATCCATTAATTCATTAGGACTTGCAAAATTTTATTATCATTATGGAAAATTTAAACATACATATAATTAGACAGACTCATATAATCAACTTTATGAATTCATCAACCAACTTATGGCCAGTGACGTAAGTTACCCTCTACTGACTTCCCTTCTCTCCTGTATCATTGTAAATTAAATTCCAGATATCATATTTTATTCATAAATATTTCAAAATTCCTGAATATGGAAGCTAGTGACTCTTTTTAAAGAGTCATTATTCTCATTCATTATTCTCATAATCATCATTCTCATACCTAAAAATGTTAATAATACTTCCTTAATAGCAAATGTTATAGTTGGTTGTTACAAATTCCAGATTTAAATATATTTGATATATTTCAATTTATTGAAGTTGTTATCCTTACTGGCTATATTAGTCCATTCTCGTGCTGCTAATAAGGACATACCCAAGACTGGATAACTTATAAAGGAAACAAGTTTAATGAACTCAGAGTTCCACATGGCTGGAGAGGCCTCACAATCATGGCAGAAGATGAAGGAAGTGCAAAGGGATGTCTTACATGGCAGCAGGGAGGAGAGCTTGTGTAGGGGAAGTACCCTTTATAAAACCATCAGATCTCCTGAGACTTATTCACTATTTTGAGAACAGCATGGGAAAGAACCACCCCCATGATTTGTTACCTCCCACCAGGTCCCTGCATGACACAAGGGGATCATGGGAGCTACAGTTCAAGGTGAGATTTGGGTGGGGACACAGCCAAACCATATCACTGGTGTTCAAATTATCCCACCTTTGGGCAGTTTGATTTCTTCCATGATAATGGATTTCACAGTATATTCTTCTTTACGTTTCCTGCCCTAGACTCTGAATCCATCATTTCTCCAGAGTCCTGGTTTCTTTTCATCACATCATATCAGGGGATTTATGATACTAACATGATTTATCACCTATGATACCAAACTTGACCACCTGGTTAAAATAGTGTTTGCTAGGTTTCTCTGCTCTAAAGTGACTATTTTTTTTTCCTTTTTTATGCCTTATTCCTTGGAATTGAATCACTAAGTCTAGCCCACACTCAGAGGTGGAGGATGGGGAATAAGCTCTCCCTACCTCCAGGTGGAGGAAGAGTATATACATATGTAATATTTGGAAATATTCTGTAAGGAAGATTTGCCCCTTCTCCCCAAATGATTACTTTATTCAATCATTTATTTATATCATGTGGGTTAATAAATATTTATTTCATACTTGGGTTGTAACCCAATACCGTGTTACTTATTTTGTTGTTCAAATTGTTTCAGCTTTGGCAATCAAGAGGTCCTTCGAGTTGACTCCTGTGTCCTTTCACATGCCCCACTTTCTTTCTCTTCTTTTTAGCATTTCCTTGCTTTTTGGCATTATGAGATGTTCTAGGTTCATCTTGTATTTTGCCTGCCCTAGTCCTAGAATCAACCATTTCTCCAAATAACTTACAATAGGGTTTTAGGATATAAAGTTATATGAGAGGGGCTACGATTTTAGTTAGGATATGTTCAAATTTATGTGATGAATCCTAATAGCATTCTAGTGTATTATATCCCAGTAATTCTGTGCTGACCCATTGGCACCATGTCCCATTGTGAAAGCTCATTATTCTGATCATATGGAGAAATTAGAAGTCTCAAAGAGATTTTAATTTTGCTCTGTCTGAAATATCTGCATCTATGGAAATTAATAGATGCTGTACCTCCACTTCAAGGTATATAGTGCCATCTCTTGCCCACAATATAAAATCTGAGTAATACAGAATTACTGCTGATTTCAGATATCTATCCAGAAAGAGTTAACTGAGAAATATTGGGGAAAATGTTAAAGTAATTTCTACTAATGTGTCAATGTTCTCAGTGATCACCAAATACTGAACCATGCCTGCAGATCTATAAATTTTCCCTTGCATAATCACACCATCAGATCACCTCTGAAATAAAGTTGTTTCAATGTAAGATGGCAATGCAACTTGCAAGTTCTGTTGGGCTGACAAGCTTTTCATATTTAAGAGGTTAAGTTTAGGCCAGGCGCGGTGGCTCACGCCTGTAATACCAGAACTTTGGGAGCCCGAGGCAGGTGGATCGCGAAGTCAGGAGTTCAAGACCAGCCTGGCCAACATGGAGAAACCCTGTCTCTACTAAAAATACAAAAATTAGCTGGGCATAATGGCGTGCACCTGTAATCCCAGCTACTGGGGAGGCTGAGGCAGGAGAATCACTTGGACCCGGGAGGCGGAGTTTGCAGTGAGATGAGATTGTGCCGCTGCACCCCAGCCTGGGTGACAGAGCGAGACTCCATCTCAAAAAAAAAAAAAAAAGTTAAGTTTGGAACAATTGCATTAAAACCTAGCTTTCATCATATCCACCCCAGAAAAGCAACCTGAGGCATTAAATAATTCTCCTATCTCATTCACTCTTATGACTATTGCCAAAGTCATTGATTTTATAGATGCTGATTTCACTCTGCTGATACATCCAAGTTTTTAACTTCTGGAATTTCCTTTTAAACAACTGACTCTCTTTGTCAAAATAAATAACATCACAGTTTTCTAGGGGATGCATAATTAGCCACTTTCCTCATCAAATCTATGGTTGTTAGCTTCAGCAGGGCCCTTAATAATGCTGTCCTTCCTTTTGCACCCACCTGTTAATTACCTTTCCCATTTCTCCTAAGCAGCTATTCAAAACATTTACCACTTTCTACAAGCTCTCAATTCAACCTCGCTCCTCCTCTCATTCTCAGAATATTGTTCATGTTCCATTAATTACGAACAAGAGACAACAGGCCTCAATTCACTTTTTTCTTTCTTTCTTTTTTTTTTTTTTTTTTTTTGAGACGGAGTCTCGCTCTGTTGCCCAGGCTGGAGTGCAATGGCTCTATCTAGGCTCTCTGCAAGCTCCACCTCCCGGGTTCACGCCATTCTCCCACCTCAGCCTCATGAGTAGCTGGGACTATAGGCGCCCGCCACCACACCTGGCTAATTTTGTTTTTGGTATTTTTAGTAGAGACGGGTTTCACGGTGTTAGCCAGGATGGTCTCTATCTCCTGACCTCGTGATCTGCCCGCCTCGGCCTCCCAAAGTGCTGGGATTACAGGTGTGAGCCACCGTGCCCGGCCTCTTTCTCTCTTTTTTTTTCTTTTTTTTAGAGACAAGAATCTCTCTGTGTTGCCCAGGCTGATCTTGAAATCCTGTGCTCAAGTGATCCTCCTTCTTCCTTGGCCTGAGAAAGGCTGGGTTTACAGGTATGAGTCACTGCGCCTGGCCCAGGCCTCACTTTCTGTATCAGACAGGGTTCTGAGTTGCAAGCAACAGAAACAAACTCTGACCAATTTAGGCAAAAAAGAAATTTATAGTTATTGGGTAGCTCACAAGTTCTGAAACACCAAGAATGAGACTTGGAAGTTACAGAACTAGCAACGATGCCCAATATACTGAAACTCGGAAGTTGCTGTGGGTAGAGGCAATTTGGAGTAAACTGTATTATTGTTAAAAAATATTTTCTTCTCTCTGCAGGAGTTGTATATTTTCCTGTCCCATTATTGTTCAGCTTAGCAATATAACTTCCTGTCTGATGGAATGTGAGTGGAAGTGATGTCTTCACTTCCCCAAAAATTTTAAGAGCCACTGAGTGGATTTACCACTTCTCCTTTCCATATGCCACAAGACTTACAATTCCATGATAGCAGCTGGTCCTGAAATGAAGACAGCTGGAGCAGAACCCGAGTTAACCTGCAAGAGACATTTAACTGGAATTTGAAGGTTTTGTTGTTGTAAGCCACAACAACAAAGAGGTTGTTGGTAACTGCAACGTAACCTGTGTGAACTGGCTAATAGAGGACAGCTGAATAAATGCACACGGCTCACAGCTGACAGAGCAACCAGCCCAAGAGATATCCTTAAAATGCTGATATTTCCATATCCTTAAAAATATTTGAAATATGAATGATTTGTGTCTTGAGGTCAGGATCAGTGCCTTAATTATTCAATTTATGATGAAATATTTTGAACAAAATATTTTTCCACTCAAAAGTTATATGCTATTTTACGTTTTTAAATGGAAGCAAAAGTGACTTGTCTTGAAAATAGTCTTCTAAACCACTGTAATATTTGAGAAGAGTAAGAAAATCATGATTCATAATGTTTCTATTTGTGAACCCTGAAAGAGGCAATCCTTTGATATGGATCCTGAATAGGTAACTGGGCCTAAATTCAAAATAGAGCAAAGTGGCCATTTGCTGACTAGAGGTCACATTCACACTCTGCTTTCTCAGAAAACTCACATGCTCACGTAACTTTGAGACTTTCATAGCTATCTGTTCCTCTTTACTTCAACTGAATCAACAGCTGCTGGAAAAATCCTATGTTGTCTTCTGAAATTAACCAATAGGCTGTAAGTTGTGCTGACCAATCAGAACTAAATAAGCATCAACCAATCAGAACTGAACAAGTTTGCATCCCTTATTTGCATAGCAGATCAGACTGGGAACCTGGGTGGGAACTTTCTCTTTTTTCTATAAAAGGCAACTCCTCTCTTTGTTCCCTCAGAAGAAACCTTGGTTTTGTACAGAAGGCTGTGTCTCCCCATTTACAAACTGTTTCCTGGAATGAAGTCTCTTTTCTTCTTAAAAAAGAAAATCCTTTTGAGTGGATTTGTGGCCATACTGCAAAAATAATTCTCACTCTAGTTCAAAGACTTTCTGAGCAAATGGAATATTAGCATGACAACTCTCCAAGTAATTCAAGTAACTCTGTAACAGTTACCTGCGATGAAATAAAGATGAAGAGGCCCTGTAAACACTTTTTTAAAACAAAAAGCAAATATTTTTTGAATGCATAGTTACCTAGAGCAACAGAAAGATTCATATTTCTGGTCCTCCTTTCAAAATAAATAAATAATGCCTTTTTAAAAAATAAGTCCTTATGGGCTCTCTGATACAAAGCCCTAAGAAACACACAATCTCACCTCTGTGGTATTCCTGCCAAAGACATATAACTGTACCTAACCATGAGGAAATATCAGACAAACCTAAACTGAGATATGTTCTACATAATAACTGACCTGAACTCTTTTAAAAATACCAGTACTATAAGAGACAAAGAAAGATGGAGGAACTGTTCCAGATTAAACAAGGTTAAAGACACATGCCCCCTGAATGTAACATATCATCTTAGATTTTCTTTTACAATAAAGCACATTATTGGTGTCACAAAATCCTTGGGGTGTCACTTCACCAGCTGGAAACTTCTTTGGCTGGCAGTGCCTCTTGCCTGAGTATTACTTGCACCCGCTGGGCCCGTTCCACCCACTCAGCCCAGCAGGCTATGATCGGCTCACACTTCTGGCTTGGATCCCACACCTGCCCAGGGTGAGCCAGGCGTGGAGCAGCAAGGGGTGTGTGGGTGAGCAAATGCAGGGTCCAGCCACTGCACACAGCCAGGCATGCCAGCTGCTGTGTTGGGGCAGGCAGCTCCAGATGCTGGCACAGGTGCTGGCTCCAAGCAAGGCTGCAGTTGGGCCAGATACACTGCACACAGTTTCTGCTGTGGGCACCCGCATCTGGACAAGGGGGATGTGGTGGCATCCAGAAGCTTGGAGACAGCAGGGACTGCAGAGACCCAAAGAGGGTGTCACAGCTCTGGCTTGGTGAGCCCCTAGGTCTGGGATCCCGGAAGGGCCACAGCTCTTCTCTCCTTGTCTCCTTCTCATCACCCACAATGTGGCAAGCGGTGGGGGCTGGGGGGTGTGTTTCAGCCCTGTTTATGTTATAACTCTTTCAGTCCCACTATTCAGTGAGTCTCAAGTTCTTTTCCCAAGTCCAGGAAGAATGAGGTATGGGGACAGCTGTAGGGTGAGCAAGGTGGAGAGGAGCTTCATTGAGCAACAGAACAGCTCCCAGGAGACCTAAAGTGGGTAGTTCCTTCTGGCAGTTGGTAGTCCTGATGTCTGTGTGAGTCTGGCTGAGTCTCTGGGGTTTTTATGGGTTCCGAAGAGAGGAAGTGCATACTGATTGGCTCATGGGCGGCCACGGGCAGGCTGGGAAAAGCACCATAAGTTGTCACTCTGGGCTGCAAACTCCACCCTGAACTAGTAGCCTGGTCCCCCAGGCTTCAGGCCATCCCTGGCTTGAAAGTGGAGTTTCACTGGGGACCCACCAATAACCTGTCTGCCTCCTGCCATCAACATGCCATCCAAGGTGCCCAAGCTGTTCATGCCAAAGGGTGCCTGCAAGCCTGTGCTGAGCTGCCCTCAGCTCCCCTTCTGGCTTCCCTCTTGCACTCATTGGCATCCAAAGTCTGGAGGTGGCAGGGGGCTGGCATGTTAGCATAGCCCTGAGTGCATGCACACCCAGCCAGGTAGCAACAGCACCCAGGCTTGGCCACAACTTTGCTCTGCACCAGAGTGGGTGCCGGGAGCAGGGAGAGGCCAAACAGTGGGAGCAGGCACTTCCAAGCCTGCAGGGGCAGGGGCTTCCCAGGCCCCTGAGAGCACAGGAATGCCTGGGTCCAGAGCCGTGGCCAGGCGGCTACAGCTGTATCCAGGAGCACAGGCCTCCAGTCTTGCCAACTTGGTAGGGGTAGGGCTCCTGCCCCCTACAGAGGTGCAACCCCAGCTGCACCTCCCACGCTGCAGCCAGCATCTTCGCAGCGGCCACTCCAGACAGCTGCTGCTGCCATCATTGGGACACTGGCAAAAACTGAATAAGAATTGAAGATTAGGTGACATCAGTGTTAATTTTCTGATTTCAATATTGATTCTGTGGTTAGTTGAGGTGTTCCTTGTTCTTAGAAAATATACACTGCAGTATTTAAGGGGGAAAATGAAAGTGTGAAGAGGGTACAAGAATACTTTATTTTTTATTTATTTATTTATTTATTTATTTATTTATTTATTTAGTTTAGAAAGAGTCTCACTCTGTTGCACAGGCTAGAGTGCAATGGCCTGATCTCTGCTTACTGTAACTTCTGCTTCCTGGGTTCATGCAATCCTCCCAGCCTGGGCAACACAAAGAGACCCTGTCTCTATAAAAAAATAAAAAAATTAGCCAGGCATGATGGCACGTGCCCATAGTCCTAGCCTCAGCATGCTGGGACAGAAGGATCCCTTGAGCCTGGGAGGTCGAGGCTGCAGTGAGCCAAGATCGCACCACTGCACTCTAACCTGGGTGACAGAGTGGGACCCTGTCTCAAAAAAAAAAAATTGTGGTAAGAACACTTAACATGAGATTTCTGCTGTTAAAATTTTAAGTGTACAATACAATATTGTGAACTGTAGGCACAATGTTGTACAGAAGATCTCTAGAACTTAATCATTTTGCACAATTGAAATATTATACCCATTAATAATAATAACAATTAATTAATAGTAACTCCCCATTTGTATCTCCCTCCAGCCCCTGACAACCACCATTGTGCTTTCTGCTTCTGTGCATTTGACCATTTTAGATATTTCATATAAGCAGAATCATGAAGTATTTGTCCCTCTGAGACTAGCTTATTTCAGTTGGCATAATGTCCTCAAAATTCATTCATGTTGTCACACATGGCAGGGTTTCCTTCTTTTTTAAAGGCTGGATTATATTTTATTGTATATATAGACCATGTTTTTTTAATCCAATCATCCATCAATGGACATATAGGTTGTTTCTACATCTTGGCTATTGTGAATAATGCTACAATAAGCATGATAGTGCAAATATCTCTTTGAGATAATCATTTAATACTTTAAATTATTTTAGTTAAATATCCAGAAGTGGGATTGCTGAATCAGATGGTATTTCTATTTTTAGTTTTTGAGGAGCATCCTTACTGTTTTTTCAAAGCAACTGCACTATTTTGCATTCCTACTCACAGTGTACAAGGCTTCCAATTTTTTCACATCCTCTCCAATACTTGTTACCTTTTGTTATTTTGACATTAGCCATCCTAACAGGTGAGAGGTGATATCTCATTGTGGTTCTGATTTGCATTTCTCTGATGATTAGTGATGTTGAGCATCATTTCTGAGAGCTGTTGGCCATTTGTATGTCTTCTTTGGAGAAGTGTCTGTTGAACTTCTTTGCCTTTTTTTTTTTTTTAAGAGATGGAGTCTCACTCTGTGACTCAGGCTGAAGTGCAGTGGTGTGATCACAGCTCACTGCAGCCTCAAACACCTGGGCTCAAGGGACCCTCCTGCCTCAGCCTCCCGAGTAGCTGAGACTACAGGCATGCACCACCGTGCCTGATCCCCATTTTTAATTTGGTTTGAAGAAGCTCCTTACGTATTTTGAATATTAACCACTTATCAGATATATGATTTACAACTATTTTCTCCCATTTCACAGGTTGCCTTTCCACTCTGTTGTTTCCTTTGCAGTTCTAGTATCATTTTGATATGAGCTTTTTTGTTCTCTTGAAGCTAATTTTTGTACACAGATATTACAACGTTTATTTTTGTTTTAATAATTGGTACTTAACATATAAAAGTTACTTCAAAACCCCACTCTGTCAGCTTTTAAGGTCAGTTTACAAATATTTGTAAGTCAGACATTTCTAAGAAGCCTTTGAATGATATTCAGCTCCTTTTTCAAAGTTAAGTAGCTTCAACAATTTTAAAATTTTCTAAAATTAATTTTTCTAATTTTATTTTTCTGTACTTCATCTGTTTAATCTGAATTAACAAACAAGATCTTCCATGGGTTTAAATAACTTCAATATACATAAGAGGGTAAGTATACAAATAAGCTGAAACTAAAATTTTCTTAAATGTTCCATCACCATACATAAGTTGAGGAAGTTATCACCTTAGACTCTCAAGTCTAAATCAATTACTCAATTCCATATCCTAGATTGAAGTTAGAAGGCTGTCCCTCTACTAGGACAAATTATTTTATAAAACTACTTTAAATATCAAATATGTACATATTCCTTTTAACATAAAAGTATTAGTACTATGGTTTCAATTCTCTTAACTATTTCTATACTTACCTCAAAACCCTCTGGAGTGGAAAAATGTATATCCACCTGAGGAAGATTGTTACTATCTCACGTAACTGTGCTTGCCAACTCAGTATGAAAAACAATTTCTGCCCCAATTAATTACAAATGTTTTCGGCGTGGACACTGTTTGTTTTCAAGCCCCCTACTGGATTGAATGAACCCTATTTTTTAAATGCTATTTAATAGTTGCTGGGTCATGGGCTTTAAGATTTAAAAGAGGGTTGGTTTGGCGGGTCATGGATCTCAAATTCATGGATTTAAGTAATAGATACATTAATTTCTCCGTATGCTCACAGATGTCTCTGGCACCTACTGAGGTTTATCATGTGATTGCATTTTATATTTCCTCAGTTGTTAAGAAATATACTTTTGTATAAACATAGTTTAGTAGATAAGATCTCTGTTTCTGAAGTCAGACTGTCTGGGTAAGCATCCAACTCTGACCATAGGTGCATTACTTAGCATTTTTGCACCTTGGTTTTCACACTTGTAAAAATGAAGATAACAGTACCTACCTCATAGGATTGTTATAAGGATAAAATGAATGAATGAATATTTATAAAGCACTTAAGCAGTGCTTGGCACACTCCTACCTACAAACACTTATCCAGTACTCACTGATAAGGAATACTGCTCCCCAGATGACTTGTCCTCGCCCTAAGTTTTGAAAGCCACTACCACAAAATGGTAGATCCTCAGGGGCATGGTCTTCATTTCATTAACCTTGTCTCTTGACATATATTAGGTTGGTGCAAATAATGGCAAATTACTTTTAATTAAAAGTAATGGCAAAAACAGCAATAACTTTTGCACCAACTTAATATGTAGTACAGCATAGGCACTAAGCATATGATTGATAAATGATTGAATGTCTGTGCTAGAAAGCAAGTTTTTTCCCTCTCTGGGTGGCATTTTTAGAGTTTTAGTGATCCTCCTGTCTCAGCCACTTAAGTAGCTGTGAAAGGCATGGGCCAGCATGCCTGGCTATAATTCAAGAGTCTATAATAATTGATTGTAACTACAATTTGTTATTATTTTGGACACAACATTGTAACCCATGTTATGAGCCATTGATAAGAAACTCTCTTTTAACTGATGTCAGGATGTTGTCCACGATGACATCTGTCCCATGGTATAGTACCTTCTCTGTTAGGCAGGACACGTGGGTAAAATTTAGATCTCTTTCCTTGAATAAATTAGGCTTCATCTTGAACTAAATGTGTGATTTTACCTTACAGTGTCTCTAATGGGTGGCAGAGGTTGTTGTTTTGTTGTTGTTAACGTTAGAAAATTCATAGTCCAATTTGCAATCCAACCTAAACCACTGTACATGATAGTGTCCTATACACACATATTCTCTGCACTGAACTTACCCTGGATTACTATTTCCTCCTAATATTTTTAAAGTGTTCTGATTTCTACAATGCTTTTCTAACTCTTTCTACTGTGTGTATTTTCTCAGACACATCAAAACTTCTCAGATGAGCCACATAGGAAGACAAAGAGGAAGAAAATCAGGGCATCGAAACTGTAACAAGTCTAAAAAAAGACTGTGTGGGGAAAGAGGGGATTCAAGTATTTAGTATTGAAAAGTGAAAGCCAAAGACTGAGAATTAGTCAATGTGTCACTAAGCACTACAAGGGAAGAGACTAGACTGACCAGCTGTCAGATGTACTTGGGCCTGCTGGACAGATACATTTTTCTGGTGAAGACGGCTGCATCTGGCTTGCATCATTCCCTATTCTCTGATTTCATCTTCATTGAGCATCCTTCAGATTCGCATTCCTCAAAGAATATTAACATGTTTTCAGTGTTTACTATGTTACATATGGTATTTAATTTTACAGCAATCCTACGAGTTGTTTTCCCTATTTTTACAGCTGAGAAAAAATAGCTAGCCATGTCCTTTTTTTTTTTTTTTTTTTGAGACAAGGTCTCACTCTGTCACCCAAGTACAGTGGCATGATCAGGGCTTACTGGAGCTTTGACTTCCCAGACTCAAACGATCCTCTCACCTCAGCCTCCTAAGTAGCTGGGGACTACAGGCACCTACCACCATGCCCAGATAATTTTTTAAAAATTTCTGTAGAGACAGAGTTTCACTATGTTACCCAGGATGGTCTCAAACTCTGGGGCTCAAGCAGTATTCCCATCTCAGCATCCCGAAGTGCTGGGATTACAGGTATGAGCCACCGCACCTGGCCATAGCTAGCCATTTCTGCCAGGAGCTGCCACTCTGGCCTCCAAATATCCACAACCCTTCTCTTCCCACACATAGAAAACACCACATCTTTATCTAAGTGAAGGATCTCCATTTGATGCTCATTGCCACCATCATATTCAAATGTAGATCCACATACTACAGCAACCTAGGAACCAAAAGTCAACTTATCTAGCCACCCATTACACACCTGTAATTTAAGTGTAGCCTAGAGCTACCTCCTTAACATATTTTAAGTTCAGCCTAAAGGTTTCTCCGTATATAGTGAATGGTAACCAAACTGGATGTGTAAACAGACTGTAAGCCACTCTTATACCAATCACCATGTTTTGGCCAATCAAAGGCAACCAACTGTTCAAACCATGTTCCAATGAGGCAAACGCCAAGCTGTAAGCAGTCCAGCTGTTTCTGTACCTCACTTCTGTTTTCTGTACCTCACTTCTGTTTTCTGTAAGTCATTTTCCTTTTTCTGTCCATGAATCCTCTCCAACCACATGGCAGTGCCAGGGTCGCTCTGTATCTATTCTGGTTTAGGCGAACTGCCCGATTTGCAAATGGTTCTTTGCTCCATTAAATACTGTTAAATTTGTCTAAAGTTTTTATTTTAACACACCAATACACACTGATGGATCAGGGACAAAGTAAAGATAACACAAGTAAGAGTCCCATTTGGAAAGAGACTAATGGGGAGCTCAGCAGTCCTGGTCCACAGCAGTGTTGAAATGCTGCAAAGCAGGCATGGCGAAGACCTTCTGTCCAAGGTCACATAGCTAAGTCAATTTGTTCAGTCTTCAAAATGGATACACTTTCCACTCCTCTACATTATGTAAAGCAAGTTAGTAGGCTGATGAGCTGACTTTTATTATTATGTTATTAAATGTCTGGCTTTCTAAATAGATTACAAGCCTTGTGAAAATTTTCTTATTCAGTGCTGCATCCCAAGTGATTAGCAAAGTGTCTGGCACATAGGATATGTTCAATAAATATTTGTTGAATGAATGAATAACATAACCATTATAGTCCACTTGGCCATTAAATTTTTCAGTGTAAATTAGAAAACAGGAATTTTGAGTGATATATCAGTCTTCACTGAATTTGCTCAGGATGAATCATTTCTCTGGAGGAAGGATCGCTAGCCTGACTGAGTTTTTTGACTTACAAAGTTAAGCTCTAGATATTGGACTAGTTGATGCCCTGTGTTCTTTTCAATAATACCTACATCAGCAAAATGCATACATTCATAGGTTTTGTTGTATGTTTATTTGCTTGTTTTAACTTCAGAAGCACAGAATTGCACCCTGGATTAATCATCTAATCATGTTCCTTGGCTTGCTGCACACTTTCATCTTTCATCTAAACATCATTGGTCTATGCCCCTTTTTATTTTATGGATTTATTTAATGATATTAATAACACCACAAATTTATGACCCAACCTGACGGCTTGCACATTACCAGGAATTGACATCTACTATGGGCTCCTCTTCTGTCCTGCCCCTAACTTCTTCCCATCTTGTAGCTTGGAGGTAACCACTATTCTCCATTTTGTTTTTCAGTTCCTTAATTTATTTTTCAGTAAGTTTTCACATACACATATATTGCATACATTGTATTACTAAGATTCACTCATGGTGTTGTGTGTATTTTTATCTCACTGATTTTCCCTTCAGTACAGTGCTCCACTGTGAAAACCACGATTTCTTAGTTTTCCTGTGTATGGTCTTTTGGGCTGTTGTCAGTTTTTTGCAGTTGTGAACAGGAAGCTATGAACATTCTTGAAGATAAATGGGAAGAGCTTCAAGCAGTGGAATTGGTGAGTCATAGGACATAGATAATTCAACTTTATAAAATAAACCAAATAATTTTCCCAAGTGGTTATACCAATATATACTCCCTGCAGCAATATACAAGATACCATTGGTATTATCTAACTTCTTGTTTTCCTTTAAATTATATTTTGATTTGCCTGACAATGCCAATTCTCTATGGAAATGCCAAAATATCTTTTTGAATATATTTATCACATAATTTTAGAATGACCAAAAAAAAAAAAGAAAAGAAAAAAAGAAGACTGTAATGCCAAACAATTTTTATTTTGGGCTTGTAATAATGAATTTTACATTCCTATCTGAATATATGTAACATCATTTAAAAATGATTAACATTGATACAGTTAGAAGAATCTTATTATTATATAATTTCTTCTTTTTCTAATTTTTTTTCTCTCTTAGGGTGGACTAGAACCTCTAGGGAGCCTTTAGCAACCCACTAGTCTCTTCCACACTCATACAATACTCTACATACCTTTGTCTTAACACTTACAGCAGAAACTATTTGCCCTCCTGTGTTAGTCCATTTTCACACTGCTGACAAAGACATACCTTAGACTGGGTAATTTATAAAGAAAAAGAGGTTTAATGGACTCAGTTCCACATGGCTGGGGAGGCCTCACAATTATGGCAGAAGGTGAAAGGCACATCTTACATGGCAGGAAAGAGAGAAAATGAGAAAAGGGAAACCCCTTATAAAACCAACAGATCTCATGAGACTTATTTGCTACTATGAGAACAGCATGCGGGAAACCATCCCCGTGATTCAATTATCCCCACCAGGTCCTTCCACAACACATGGGAATTATGGAATTCAAGATGGGATTTGGGTGGGGACACAGCCAAATCATATCACCTCCAATATCTGTTCTTTCCTTCTTATGATTATGGAAGTTTTATTTAGGCACAGAGTTGCTAAGGTAAAACTGCCAGCTTTCCTTGCAGGTAGCTATGGCCATGTTACTAGGTCTGGACAATGGTATGTGAGCAGAAGTGATGGGGGAAACTTCTGGGTTAATGGCCCTAGAACATCACTTCTACTAGAAGTTGAATATGAATCCAGGAGTTGGAGCAATCATCCTGAATCTATTAAGGAAGCTGTACATTGAGAATAGTAGAGTTACAAGACAGAAGACTAGGCCCCTGATGTCTTCAAGTAGAGCAGCCAGCCTGGACATATAGAAATAAATTTGTCTTATTTAAACCATTTTGGGTTTACTACTACAGCAGCAGGACTGATATCCTAATACATAATTTGTACCTAAAAGTAAGATGATACTGTAATAAAACCTATAACAAGAGGCATTGGCACTCAGGCAACAGGTGATGAGCATATCGTAAGCTAACACTGGCGACTCTTATGCTTGGCCCAACATTTGGTGAAACCGTCACCATATGATGCCTTAAAATTTAGACCACATGTATGTAGAGCCTATAGCTCTATGGCAGTGTTTCTAAATATGTGTCATATTGGCATTTTGGGTAAAACAATTTTCTGTGGTTCAAGAATGCCCCGGGCATTTTAGGATGTTCAGCATTTTTGCTCGTAACCCATGAAATGCTAGTAGTAATCCTCAGTCAATATAACAACCAAAAACATCCCCATGTTCTTCCTAATGTCCCTTTTAAGAGCTGACCCTAGGTAAGAATTACTGCATTAGAAAAAGTAGCTAGAAAAAAATGTCAGAACATCGGTGTGCTTCTTCCCACTTCTGCCAAGGTCCTACAAGAAAGAGAAACTCAGTGCTATGGTTTGAATGTGTCCCCCAAAGTTCATGTGTTGGAAACTTAATCCCCAATGCAATAGTGTCTAGAGGCAGGACCTATAAAAGGTGATTAGGACCCAAGGGCTCTGCTTTCATGAATGAACTAATACTGTTATTGTGGGAGTGGGTTAGTTATTGTGAGAGTGGGAATCAGATGAAGGATGAGTTCAATCTCTCTCTCTCCCCCTCCCCCACCCTGCACAATTTTGCATATGTTTTGTTACCCTTCCACCTTCTGCCACTATGGGATAATGCATCAAGAAGACCCTCACCAAATACAGGCCCCTCAACCTTGGACTTTCCAGCTTCCAGAACTGTAAGAAATACACCTTTGCGGCCAGGCGCGGTGGCTCATGCCTGTAATCCCAGCACTTTCAGAGGCCGAGGCAGGCATATCACAAGGTCAGGAGATCAAGACTACGAAACTCTATCTCTACTAAAAATACCAAAAAAAAATTAGCTGACCTGCGATCGCGCCACTGCACTCCAGCCTGGGTGACAGAGCAAGACTCCATCAGAAAAAAAAAAAGAAAAAAGAAATACATCTTTGCTCTTTGTCAATTACCTCATCTCAAATAATCTGTAATTACCTCATCTCAAATAATCTGTAATAGCAACACAAAATGGACTAAGACACCCAGGCTAATTTTATAGAGGTGGACAGAATACAGCTTGGAAAATTAGGTTGGCTGGATGTAGAAACTGGATGGGAGCCCTCAATGACTTGCAAAGGAGAGCCACCATGTCAGCTTAGATACTTCAGTGAAAGAGAAATAAACTAGCCAGGCACAGTGGCTCATGCCTGTAATCCCAGGACGTTGGGAGGCCGAGGCGGGTGGATCACTTGAACTCAGGAGTTTGAGACCAGCCTAGGCAACATGGCAAAACCCCATCTCTACAGATAATAATAATAATAACAAGCCAGGTGTGGTAGTTCAGGCCTGTAGTCCCAACTTCTTAGGAGGCTGAAATGGGGAAATCACTTGAGTCTGGGAGGCAGAGGTTGCAGTGAGCCGAGATCACATCACTGCACTCAAGCCTGGGCAACAGAGCAAGATCCTGTCTCAAAAGAGAGAGAAATAAACTTACTGTATAAGCCTTATCAATGTCAGATCTCTCTTATATAAATTGAACCCATATGCTAAATAATAGAATACTTACCACCCTGATTTATAATCTTTGAGTAGATTTAAAGTGGTTTGAGGCCTGGAGACCTGCCATTTTTGTTTTTATTTTCAATATCTAGGACAGTGTTGGGTATTTTAAACATCTTTCTTGATCTGAGAAAGCAAAAATAAATTCTGAGCCAGACAGTGGAATATTATTCAACAGTAAAAAGAAATAAGCTATCAAGCCATGAAAAGACATGGAGGAAACTTAAATACAAACTACTAAGTGAAAGAAGCCAATCTGGAAAGGCTGCATGCTGTATAATTCCAACTATATGATATTCTGGAAAATGAGAAACTATGGAGACCGGAAAAAGATCAGTGGTTGCCAGGGGCTTATGGCCCTCCCAGTGATGACTAGGCAGAACACAGAAAATTCTTAGGACAGTGAGTCTACTCTGTGTGCTTTAATGGTGGATACATGTCATTACATACTTTTTCAAACCATAGAATATACAACACAAAGAGTGAATCCTAATGTGAGCTATGGACTCTGCATGACAATAATTTGTCAATGTAGGTTCACCAGTTGTAACGAATGTACCACTTTGGTAGTGAGAGGTGACAACGTGCTAGCAACCCTCGCTCACTCTCTGCGCCTGCTTGGCCTCCATGTCTGCTCTGGCCCCATTTGAGGAGCACTTTAGCCCGCCGCTGCACTGTGGGAGCCCCTGTCTGGGCTGGCCAAGGCCGGAGCCAGCTCCCTCTGCTTGCCAGCAGGTGTGGAGTGAGAGATGCGGGCGGGAACCGGGGCTGCACGTGGTGCTTGCGGGCTAGTGCAAGTTCCAGGTGGGCCCGGGCTCCGCGGACCCACACTCGGAGCGGCTGGGCGACACCACCAGCCCCAGGCAGTGAGGGGTTTAGCACCCGGGCCAGCAGCTGCGGAGGGTGCGCTGGGTCCCCCAGCACTGCTGGCCCGCCCGCGCCATGCTAGAATTCTTGCCAGGCCTCAGCCACCTCCCCGCAGGGCAGGGCTCCTGACCTGCAGCCCACCATTCCCAAGCCCCCCCATCCCCGGTGGGCTCCCCGACAGCCCCAGCCTCCCCAACGGGCACCACCCCCTGCTCCTGGCACCTGGTCCCACTGACTACCCAAGGGCTGAAGAGTGCAGGCACGCGGTGCGGGACTCAGGGGGCACGGCCCGGGGAGGGAGCCACTAGGAGAAGCCAGCTGGGATCCTGAGTAGGGTGGGGACCGGAGAATTTTATGTCTAGCTGGAGGATTGTATACATACCAATCAGCACTCTGTGTCTAGCTCAGGGTTTGTGGATGCACCAATTAGCACTCTGTATCTAGCTAATCTGGTGGGGACTTGGAGAACTTTTATGTCTAGCTGGAGGGTTGTAAATGCACCAATCAGCACTCTGTGTCTAGCTCAGGGTTTGTGGCTGCACCAATCAGAACTCTATATCTAGCTAATCTGGTGGGGACTTGGAGAACTTTTATGTCTAGCTAGAGGATTGTAAATGCACCAATTAACACTCTGTGTCTAGCTCAGGGATTGTAAACGCACCAATCAGCACTCTGTCAAAACGGACCAATCAGCTCTCTGTAAAACAGACCAATCAGCTTTCTGTAAAATGGACCAATCAGCAGGATGTGGGTAGGGCCAGATAAAGGAATAAAAAAAGCAGGCTGCCTGAGCTAGCGATGCCAACCTGCTCGAGTTTTCTTCCATGCTGTGGAAGCTTTGTTCTTTTGCCCTTTGCCATAAATGTTGCTGCTGCTCACTCTTTGAGTCCATGTGGCCTTTATGAGCTGTAACACTCACCACGAAGGTCTGTAGCTTCACTCCTGAAGCCAGCGAGACAACGAACCCACGGGAAGGAACAAACAACTCCAGATGTGCTGCCTTTAAGAACTAACACTCGGAGTGGGGGTCCACGGCTTCATTCTTGAAGTCAGCCAGACCAAGAACCCACCAATTCTGGACACAGTAGGGGATATTGGTAATGGGGGGTTGTGCATGTGTGTATGATGTAGGAGGGCAAATATATGGGAACTTTATACTCAATTTTGTGGTGAACCTAAAACTGCTCTAAAAAAATAGTCTATTACAATTTTTTTAAAAAAGTTAATCCTCAGATATAAATTACTGATTACATGAATTTGTACCATGACATTTGATATGGTTTGGATCTGTGTCCCTGCCCAAATCTCATATCAAATTATAATCCTCAGGGTTGGAGATGGGGCCTGGTGGGAGGTGACTGGATCCTGAGAGTGGATTTTCTCCTTTGGTGCTTTTCTCCTGATAGGATTCTCACAAGATCAGGTTGTTTATGTGTGGCATTTCCCACCTCTCTCTCTTCCTCTTGCACCTGGCTATGTGAAGTGCCAGCTTCCCTTTTGCCTTCCACCATGATTGTAAGTTTCCTGAGGCCTCCCCAGAAACTGAGGAGATGATGCGACCCTTTCTGTACAGCCTGTGGAACAATGAACCAATCAAACCTCTTCTTTATAAATTACCAAGTCTCAGGTAGTTCTTTATAGTAGTGTGAGAATGGACTAATACAAAAAATTGGTAGAAGGGAGGCATTGCTATAAAGATACCTGAAAACGTGGAAGTGGCTTTGGAACTGGACAGAAGCTGGAAGAGTGTGCTAGGCTCAGAAGAAGACAGGAAGATGAGGGAAAATTTGGAACTTCCTAGAGATTTGTTAAAATGTTGTAACCAAAATGGTGATAGTAATATGGACAATGAAGTCCAGGTTGAGGAGGTCTTGGATGAGATGAGGAACTTACTGGAAACTGGAGCAAAGGTCAGTTTTGTTATGCATTAGCAAAGCACCTGGCTGCATTGTGCCCCTGCCCTAGGGATCTGTGAAAATTTGAACTTGAGAATGATTTAGCCTACCTGGCAGAATAAATTTCTAAGCAGCAAAGTGTTCAAGAAGTAGCCTGGCTCCTTCTGGTACCTATGTTCATATGTGTGAGCAAAGAAATGATATGAAACTGGAACTTATATTTAAAGGGAAGCAGAGCATAAAAGTTTGGAAAATTTGCAGCCAAGCCATGTGATGGAAAAGAAAATCCCATATTCAGGGGAGGAATTCAATCAGCCTGCAGAAATTTGCATAACTAAAAGGAACACAAATGCTGATGGCCAAGACAAGGGGGAAAACACTTTGAAGGCATTTCAGAGAACTTTGTGGCAGCCTCTCCCATCACAGGCCTAAAGACCTAGGAGGGAAAAATGGTTTCCCGGGCCAGGCCCAGAGCCCAGTAGTGTGTGGCCTTAAAACACTGCTTTTTGCATTCCAGTCTTCAGCTCCAGCTGTGGGTTGAAGGGGCCCAGGTACAGTTCAGGCCACTGCTTCAGAAGGTGTAAGCCATAAGCCTAGGCAGCTTCCATGTCATGTTAAGCCTGTGGGTGCCCAGATTATGAGAGCTGAGGCTTGGGAGCCTCTGCCTAGATTTCAGAGAATGTATGGAATAGCCTGGATGTACAGGCAGAAGTCTACTGCAGGGGCAGAGCCCTCATGGAGAACCTCCACTAGGGTAGTGTGGAGGGGAAATGTGGGGCTGGAGCTACCACACAGAATTCTCACTGGGGCACTGCCTAGTGGAGTGAGATGAAGGCCACCATCCTCCAGACCCCAGAATGGTAGATCCACCAGCAGCTTGCACCCTGCACCTGGAAAAGATGCAGACACTCAATGTCAGGCCGTGAGAGCAGCCACAGGGGCTAAACCCTGCAAAGTCACAGGGTGGAGCTGTGCAAGGATTTGGGAGCCCACCTCTTGCATCAGTGTGCCCTAGATGTGAGACATAGAGTCAAAAGAGATTATTTTGGAGCTCTAAGATTTAATGACTGTCCTGATGGGTTTTGGACTTGCATGGGGCCTGTAGCCTCTTTCTTTTGGCCAATTTTTCCATGTGGGAATAGGAATGTTTACCCAATGCCCATATCTCCATTGCATCTTGGAAGTAACCAACTTGTTTTTGATTTTACAGGCTGATAGGGGAAAGGGACTATCCTTGTCTCAGCTGAGACACTGGACTCTGTACTTTTGAGTTAATGCTGGAATGAGTTATTAAGATTTTGAGGAACTATCAGGAAGACATGATTGGATTTTGGAATATGAGAAGGACTTGAGATTTGGGAGGGATTGTAGCAGAATGATATGGTTTGGATCTGTATCCCCACCCAAATCTTGAATTGTAATCCCCAGTGTTGGAGATGGGGCCTGGTGGGAGGTGATTGGATCAAGGAGGCAGATTTCCCTTCTTGGTGCTGTTCTCATGATGGTGAGTTTTCATGAAATCTGGCTGTTTAAAAGTGTGTGGCACCTTCCACCACCTCTCTCTCCTCTTCCTGCTCTCGGCCATGTGAAGTGCTCGCTTCCTCTTTGCCTCTCACTATAATTGTAAGTTTCCTGAGGCCTCCCCAGAAGCCGAGGAGAAGCTGCCATGCTTCCTACATAGCCTGCAGAACTGTGAGCCACTTAAACCTCTTTTCTTCATAAATTACACAGTCTCAGGTATTTCTTTATAGCAGTGCAAGAATGGACCAATACAACATTAAATGATGAATGCTTTATATGCATATAGGTGTCTTTCAAATGTAAGATTTTTTTTTTCCTTAGAACATGACCAGTAAGTCTAATATGAGCTGTGACTAGCCAACACTTGGTCTACTTTAAGGGCACTACATTGAATGCTTCAACAGGCTTGACGATGCAAAGGGAAATAGAGCATAGATGTTGTGGCTAAGTAATAATTTCTTAGTATGATGAGAATTGGGTGACCATATGTCCTGGTTTGTTCAGGGCAGTCCCAATTTGTATCTGTATTGTAGCATATTAATGATGTCCACTTTTATTTTCAAAAATATCCTGGTAAGAGTGGGTCCTCTCCCCATCCGTCCCACCCAGCTCAAAACAGTATGAAAGACAGCAAGCCCAAAATTCTGGGCTCCTCAAACTTAGATGATATCTGCCTCCTCATGAGTTAGTAAAACTGTCAACCTTCTGGCCTACCTTACCAAATAGATATATCCACTTTCTTGCATCTTTGATCTTATACATACAAACAGGGCATATACAAAATATTGTCCTGTTGGTTAGGTGATTCCATCGTAAACTAAAGTGAGAGCATTTACTGAGTCCAGGTCATCATTCTTACCAATCCTCAAACAAGGGCTTGGCTTTGTGGTCTAACGTATCTTGGTCTTGTCCTGTCACCCAGGCTGGACAATCATAGCTCACTGTAACCTCAAATGCTTAGCGATCCTCCTACCTCAGCCTCCCAAAGAATTGAGATTACAGGCATGAGCTACTGCACCCGGGTGACTTCTACGTTTTAATGCTCTCAAAATATAAAATATAGAGCAAACCTAGCATCCATATCTTGGTTTCTAAAACCATAGTTCAATTAAAACAACCAGAGCTCCTGAAAGTAATGGGATTCTAGGACTGTGGCAGGAAACATACAAGACGAAGTGTCTTGTAGTGTCAGAAAGTAAGAAAGTGTTCTCACACACACATTGATAAAAGTGTGTCAAAGGGGCGCAGGAGCCAACCCAAAGAGCTACCAATGGAAAAGGTGGAATAATTTGAGCAACAAAAAAATTCAGTTATAACCCCAAGTATAAAATAAATATCCATGGGTACATACTGATATCAATGATTGAATAAATTAATAAATGGGGGAGAAGAGACAAACCTTGCTCACAGAAGAATTTCAAATAAAATACGTAGGTGCTCCACCGTAAAAGAGAGGGGTATAACTTCCCACTCCTTCAGTATGGGCAGCAGATAGTGCCTTCCTTTCAAAGAGTAAAGTATGGAAAGAAGGGGGAAAAAGAGTAACTTGACAAACACTACTTCAGTCAATTATCAAGGTCAACATAAACCACTATAAATCACTTTGCTATATGTACTCTTGGTATGACATGTAGAAAATGGCATTTTACCTCTGTGATCTTCCTCCCAAAAACCCACAATTCAATTCCAGAAACACATCAGACAATACCCAATTGAGGAGCACCCTAAATTATACCTGACTAGTACTCCTCAAAACTCTCGAGGTCATCAAAAACAAGGAAAGTCTGAGAAACTGTCATAACCAAGATGAGCTTAAGGAGACATAACAACTAAATGTAATGAGGTATCCTGGATGGGATCCTAGATCAGAAAAAGGACATTAGGCAAAAACTAAAGAAACCTAATATATCAATATTGGCTTGTTAATTATAACAAATGTACCATACTAATATGTTAATAGGGGAAACTGGACATGGAGAATATGGGAGCTCTACTATTTCCACAATTTTTCTATAAATTTAAAACTTTTATGAAGTTGTAAAAAACATAAGGTACAAAAGATTTTTAAAAATTTGTTTGGAAAGGCCCGGTGCAGTGGCTCATGCCTGTAATCCCAGCACTTTGGGAGGCCAAGATGGGCGGATCACCTGAGGTCAGGAGTTTGAGATCAGCCTGGCCAATATGGTGAAACCCTGTCTCTACTAAAAATACAAAAATTAGCCAAACGCAGTGGCGCACACTGTAATCCCAGCTACTCCGGAGGCTGAGGCTGGAGCATAGCTTGAACCCGGGAGGCAGAGGTTGCAGTGAGCTGAGATCACACCACTGCACTCCAGACCGGGAGACAGAGGGAGACTCCGTCTCAAAAAAAAAAAAAAAAAAAAAAAAAAAAAAAAAAAAAAAAGAAATTGTTTGAAAAGACAATTCTGCTTAAGTACCTTGTGAATTTTGCCTTCTTTCTATATAAAACTGATACTTATGTCAACATGTCTTGGTAGTGGAATACATGAAAAGACTTGGGTTTTGCTTGATGAATTCAGGGTGGGGGCAATCTATTTCCTTTTGAAAACTTAAAAGCGTATTAATAGTTTCCAATTTGAGAATGAGTTGTTTTCTAAAAGTTTACATTTAAGTCAACTGTTTGAAACTTGAAACACCCTTTTCCACAGAAATGTTAACAATGGTTAATTCCCAGGCCAGCCCAGTAAAGCTGATTAAGTGCTTAATAAAGCAAAACTAGACATTTGTAATAAAAATCGTGTAAAACTACAGTATGAAAAAATCTTGCTTTTTATTTTTATTTTTTTTTGGGGGGGGAGAGTGTCACTCTGTCACCCAGGCTGGAGTGCAATGATGCGATCTTGGCTTACTGTGACCTCTGCCTCCCGGGTTCAAACAATTCTCTTGCCTCAGCCTCCCGAGTAGCTGGGATTATAGGTATGTGCCATCATACCTGGCTAATTTTTGTATTTTTTGTAAAGATGGGGTTTTGCCATGTTGGCCAAGCTGGTCTTGAATTCCTGGCCTCAAGTGATCTGCCCACCTCAGCCTCCCAAAATGCTGGGATTACAGAAGGGAGCCACTGTGCAAGGTTAAAACTTGCTTTTTAAATTCAAAAGACAAACATGCAATTTAAATTTATTTCAAATCTGCTACCCACAGTGTTTGAGCCAGGGCCTAACTTTGGGTCTTTTTGCATATTGCCTTAAACCTAGAAATGCTACCCTGCAAACAGGGAAGGGGAAAGAGGAAGGTGTTAATCCGAAGTAAGTGGGAGACAGAGGAACCTCATGCACAGTTACAGAAGGCAGGTTTGCTGTTTTAACCCAGATAGAGGGGTTTCTACTCTTATTTCTAGGAACACGACGACACTGGTTGTGGGAGGGAGAGAGAAGGGATCTTTGGTTTCTCCTAATTCTAGAATCATTAATGCACTGGCATCCAGAGGGTGGGTAATAGAAATGTCTGTGGGTAGTTGGTATGCACAAATGGCCCATCAGCTAACTCATCAAGCTGGTAGGAATCTGAGCGCACAGGTGGGCTGCGGCAGGCAGCAGTCCTGGGCTCCTCACAGCTGTGTGCTACCTAGCAGGGAACAAAAAAGAAAGTGGACTCACACAGACCTGCAGAAATGCAGACAGGGTGTGAAGAGGGTTTAAATTTCTAATATGGCGGACCAGAATGTCTTGATCTATTTCTAGGCCATCTATTCTATTCCGGTGGTCTATTTGCTTACTTCTAAACAAATGCCATACAATGTGGTGGCTTTATAGTATAAAAGCGTTTAACAACAGGTTTATGTATTTAAATTCAACAGAGATCATCTAATGCAATAACTTGTGCTAACGGGTTAACTCCGTCGTACAGAACTCAGACTAAAACTCGTCTTTCCAACTCTGCGTATGTATTTGAACTTTCTACAACCATTAATAACAGAAATAATTGAATGCTAGACTAATACTGTGTAAAGGAGCAATGGTCAATCTTAATCTGATTACAAAAGTTTGAAAAAAGAAGCCTCACTCTTCTGATTGCCATTATAATAAGTGATGGCTATACTATTGAATTTGTAAAGTTATCCTAATCAAATACTACTTTTCTAATTTATATATATTTTTATATACATGACTCCAAATAAGACTGTTTATAAAATGGGTTCCATCCAGTACAAGTTTTTAAACTACTGTTGTAACACATAAATTTGTGCTGCCTCCAACAGCAATGATTCAACTGTTAGTCTGATTACATCATTCACATTATCACCAAGTATATCCTCTAAAGTGTCTAATTATCACTTTTATAAAGCACATTCACAAAGTTTTGCATTCATCACCACTACCCAGTTCCTGTTTGTCTGATTTTTATTATTTAAAAAAATGGAAAAACAAAAGTGCATTTTTCATTCAATAAATGTTCCATCCTTATTTAGTTTTGTTGCCGAAAGTGAAGTCCATGACTTTAGAATGATAGCAATTTATCAACCAAAGAATCCGTCTTCACACCGTTTCAATAACTGCAGCAATTTCCTTGAACTGTCTGTAGAAATTCTGGAGAGAAAGGGGGAAAATAATATTAATTTTGCTTTTAGAAGATATTTAAGTAGTTATTTTAATTATATCTGACTACCGGAGACTATATAACATATTAAGTTTGCATTTTAGTGTTACATTCTCAATTACTGAAGGTTGCTGTAAGAAATAGGTGCAATTTGGTACTGCAAGCAAAAATACTACTGTGGGGTTGGATAATTATCTTATGACTAAACTTTTCAAAAAGCACATGAGAAAGTCCTTTTAAGATCACACCAGATTTATTAAATACTCAGCACTGTCCTAGACACTGAAAATAAAAGCAAAAATAACAAGTTGGTTCCAGGCCTCAAAACACTTTCAATCTAGTAAAGGACCGCATTTCAGTGTGGTAAGGGCTATCTCATTTAAGATTATGGGTTCAATTACTAGAAGAGAGATCCAACATTAACTATGGTTTATATGGTAGAAGTTTATTTCTCTGTCATTTAAAAATTAAGCTGGTATAACGGTTCTCCTATAGAAGTCATCTTCTTTTAAATCTCAGGTAAGAAAGGAATCAAGCAAATTGTTCTTCTGTCTTCTCCTGTACCTACCCCAGGAAGCTAGGAGACAAATTTGAAACTTAACCTTGGCAATCAGGGTACCTTCTAATGATTTACACATCTGCATTTTCCTTCTTATTTGGTCTTAATTTTCTATTTTGCTACTTAAGAGGATTTGTATTGTTTTAATTTATATGCAAATTTGTCACAGAATGAAGCAAAGTGTAACTATTTCTTTAAAAATATGTACTGATGTTCAAAATTTTAGTTATCAAAAAGATATAAATTAAAAGCTCAAAGAATGTTCCTTAGCTCTCAGTCATGTAATGTGATTAACAGGCTATCTCGTGGTTAGTTTTAAGCCATGTAAAAACTCTCTTTAAAAGAGTTGCCTCTAATGAAAATGTTTTTGTGTATATTTATATTTAATATGATTATAATGTATGTCTATATGTATATACTATGTATGTGTATACATACACACACAATGGAATATCACACAGCCATAAAAAAGAAGGAAATCCTGCCATTTGCAACAACATGGATGAACCTGGAGGACATTGTGCAAAGTGAAATAAGCCAGACACAGAAAGGCTAATACTGCGTGATCTCACTTATATGTGGAATCTAAAAAAGTCAAACTCACAGAAGCAGAAAGGAGACTGGAGGTTGCCAGGAGCTGAGGCTGGGGGTCAATGGGGAAATGTTAGTAAAAAGGTACAAACTTTTGGTTACAAAATGAGTAAGTCTGAGATCTAATGTACAATATGGTGACTACAGTAATATTGTTATTGTTTACTTGAAATTTGCTAAAAAACATTTTACATGCCCTCAGCACACACACACACACACACACACACACACACATACATGCACACACTCTCTCCAAAAAAAAAAAAGGTAACTGTGTGGGGGTGGATGTGTTAATTAGAGTGACTGTGGTAATCTTTACACAATGTATATCTTTTATCATATCATCACATTGTGAAACCTTCAAAATACACAATTTTGTCAACTGTACCTCAATAAAGCTGGGGAAAAAAAGTTAATCCAATTGTGATTTTTTTTTTCCTATAGGAAAAAATTTCTAGAGGTGGAATCAGGACAGCACAAATGCTGCACAGAATAATAACAATTAGGCCAGCACTGTGAATTACAAAAAAGACCAAAACGTGTATTCTCTTTCGAAATTGACTGAGTCCTCATATTTAGTTGAATGTTATTCCCATATCACAATATACATTTATTTCCTTTTCACTAAGTCTCAGTTCCAAGACACTAATCAATATTAATAATGTTAAATTTGTGAACATTATTTTTGTTTCAAAGCACGGATATCTATTTTAAATAAAGAAATCAGGCTGAGCATGGTGGCTCACGCCTGTAATTCCAGCACTTTGGGAGGCTAAAGTGGACGGATCAACTGAGGTCAGGAGTTTCAGAAGTGGATGGATCAACTGAGGTCAGGAGTTTCAGACCAGCCTGGCCAACATGGTGAAACCTCATCTCTACTAAAAATACAAAAATTAGCTGGGCGTGGTGCTGCGTGCCTGTAATCCCAGCTACTCAGGAAGCTGAGGCAGGAGCATCGCTTGAACCCAGGAGGCAGAGGTTGCAGTGAGCCTAGATCATACCATTGCACTGCAATTGCATCCAGCCTGGCCAAAAAGAGTGAAACTGTGTCCCAAAAAAAAAGAAAAAAAAAAAGAAATGAAAGGGAAACAAATTATTTAAAATGTAGTTTATAAAAGCAGAAATCAAAAGTATCATAAAGTGGTATATGAAAGGGTTTTCTTTAAAAGGAAGCCTAGGACCAATATAATTTTAGTTAGTTTTACAAAGAATCACTTTTTATTTCCATTTCATTCACGATGGTTGCTTTCTCTGACTTTTAGAGTACTAACTGCTGTTTAAGTACTAAGTGTAAGTACTAACTTCGTACTAGTGTAAGTGCTAAGAATAGATTCCTACCTATTCATACCAAAAGGAACAAACCAAACAAAAACAAAACTGTACAGGACAGTTAAATTAATGACAAAACATCTCCAGTATGTACATTTAAAAGAAAACCTGGCCGGGCCCGGTGGCTCACGCCTGTAATCCTGGCACTTTGGGAGGCCAAGGTGGGTGGATCACAAGGTCAGGAGATCGA